>NC_000006.12:17484242-17635757 GCF_000001405.40 Homo sapiens | reverse complement strand
CAAAAAAATTTGGAGACCGGAAGATAGATTAGGAAGTGGTATCAATCATATAGGCAATAGGCCAGACACTGTGGCTCACGCCTGTAATCCCAGCACTGGGAGAAGCCAAGGCGGGTATATTGCTTGAACCCAGTTTAAGACCAGCCCGAGCAGCATGGTGAAGCACTGTCTCTACAAAAAACACAAAAATTAGCCTGGCTTGGTGGCACCCGCCTATAGTCCCAGCTACTTAGGAGGCCAAAGTGGGAGGATTGCTTGAGCTCGGGAGGTAGAGGTTGCAGTTACCTGAGATCATGCTACTGCGCTTCAGCCTGGGTGACAGAGTGAGACCCTGTCTCAAATAATGATAGGCCGGGTGCGGTGGCTTACACCTGTAATCCCAGCACTTTGGGAGGCCGAGGCGAGTGGATCACCAGGTCAGGAGATTGAGACCATCCTGGCTAACACAGTGAACCCCTGTCTCTACTAACAATACAAAAAATTAGCCGGGTGTGGTGGCGGGTGCCTGTAGTCCCAGCTACTCGGGAGGCTGAGGCAGGAGAATGGTGTGAATCTGGGAGGTGGAGCTTGCAGTGAGCCGAGATCATGCCACTGCACTCCAGCCTGGGCGACAGAGCGAGACTCCGTCTCAAAAAAAAAAAAAAAAAAAAAAAGATAAGCCAAGCTGTGCAACCTGTGGGCTGCATGTGGCTTAGGATGGCTATGAATGAGGCTCAACACAGATTTGTGAATTTTCTAAAACATTATGAGATTCTTTTGCGATTTATTTTTTTTTTTTATTTTTTAATTTGTTTTAAAGCTCATCAGCTGTTGCTAGTGTTAGTATATTTTACTTGTGGTCCAAGACAATTCTTTTTGTCCAGTGTGGACTAGGGAAGCCAAAAGATTGGACCACCCCCGCCTCCCCTGCTGATACAGGCAATAGATAATGTACTGATCGAACTGAATAAGGAATGGAGGACATAAAATTAAAGACGTTGATTTCAAGCTGCTGAAGTCAACATTCAGATGTATGTAATGTGACCAGGCATGGTGGCTCACGTCTGTAATCCCAGCACTTCGTGAGGCTGAGGCAGGCAGATCACCTGAGGTCAGGAGTTTGAGACCAGCCTGGCCAACATGGCAAAGCCCTGTCTCTACTAAAAATACAAAAATTAGCTGGGCGTGGTCGTGGATGCCCGTAATCCCAGCTACTTGGGAGGCAGAGGCAGGAGAATAGCTTGAACCTGGGAGGTGGAGGTTGCTGTGAGCTGAGATTGTGCCACTCTACTCCACCCTGGGCAACAGAGTGAGACTCTGTCTCAAAAAAAAAAAAATGTATGTAAGGCCTTTGGATACACCCTTTGGGTGGAGATACGGATTTGGGGTCATTAATCCATAGTTTTGATATTTGAAGTCATGAGAGTAGAGTTGAGTGTGTTCACTCAAGATGGCCTGAAATGAAAGTCCGCTAACTTACAGGGAGTGGCAGGAATAAAGCTTTTGAACAGTTAATCTTTTAAAAAGGTGCAACCAGAAAGGAAAAACAAAAACTACATGGCACTGGTTGCTTCAGAGGAAGATGGATTTCAAAGGAACAGGATCAGAGGTCTCAATAAAAAAGCTGTTACTCAAGCAAGAGATGGGTTAGTGGTGGGAGTAATGGGGGGGGTTCATGAACCAGAATAGCAGTAGAAGAGTCAGAAATTGATTGAAATAGATTTGAGAAAAATGTAGAGGAGGAGGAGTATCCAGCCAAGCTAACCAAGTAAGACAGTGGAGTCACCAACTAAGAGACTACAGTGACAAGCTCAGAAGTGTAGATTGCAGGTGTAGATTAGGAAACTGTTTTTTGGGGATTTAAAAACCACTGGAGTAAATGAGAGTTTGTGAGGACAGTGGGCCAAGATGGAACCCCAGGGAGCAATTTGGTTGGCAAGATGGAAGAGAACATACCTATAAAATGTAGAGATCAGTTAGGTAACTATGGAAGAGGTGGCGACAGTTGTAGGCCATCTAGAGAAGTAGGAATACCAGAATGAATGGCTTCACTGTCAGCACTATATTTTGGGCCTTACCAAGCCGTTCTTCCTGTGCCACCTCTCCCACAAACATGCTAGTTTTGCTTAAGATTTGTCACCTCTGTGTATCCTTTTCCTGCCTCTTAGTCATTTCTTCCTTCTTTGCACACTTGTTTTAGGTTGTCACTTGGTGATGGTGCCACTGTGCTTTTATTTTCCCCCTTTAAGACCATGAGCATCTTACAAGTTAAGCAACATTTTATTCATCTTTAATGTCCCCAGAACCCAAGTATATTATGATGCTTAATAAATGTCTGTTAAATGGCTAGCATGTAACAAATGTCAGGAATGTAGTAGGTGTCAAGTTAGATTGTGAAGTGGATGTGAAGTAGATGCACTTCTGTGCAAAAGCTATCATTCAGAGGCAGAGATCTATGCTTTCAAATCTTGAAATTCATATGGTCTGTGGCTGTGTATTTTATATGTTAGGATATTGCCTACAATTTACATCTTATGTCTTAGAATGCTTGCTGCTTTGAAGAAATTTGAAAAAGATTCTTAAGAAAAATTTAGTCTTTGAGCCCCTAATTTGCGAGCATGATTTTTTTTCTTAAACCACAGCAGTTCAAACATGTGGTTAAGGGGGAGCTCACCAGTGAGCAAGGTGATTATGAGCTGCTCATTTATAAGGTTAAAAGAAATCATTTATAAGGTTAAAAGAGAGGTCTATTCTTTTTTTTAAACAATGTAAATATGAACAGTTGTCTATTTCTGGCACATTCTGTGTTTTAATAGGAAATATTATTAGAAACTGAACACTTAAACTTAGCAGTGCCATTAAGATACTGACATACTGTAAATTAAAATTTTCATGAAATCTCCCCCCACTCCCCGTTTTTTTTTTTTTTTTTAGGAAGTTCAGTACCTGCTTCAAGTAGCAGCACTGTACCTGTCTCTCTGCCTTCTGGAGGCTCTCTAGGATTGGAAAAGTTCAAGAAACCCGAGGGAAGCTGGGACTGTGAATTGTGCCTAGTGCAGAATAAGGCAGACTCTACCAAATGTTTGGCATGTGAAAGTGCAAAGCCAGGCACAAAATCTGGGTTTAAAGGTAAGGCCAAAAAAATAAAAATAAAGGTGATGGTAAAGCGCCTTTTTGTAAGGCCATTTAAAAATGAAGTATTTGAGAACAGCTTCAGTGTTCACTCATTCTCTCTTGAAAATTAATATAAAATGAGATTATCCTGAGATGTTTTAGTTATATCTGTTTCTGAATATTGTAAGGTCATATTAGTTGCTTGTCAACAGTGAGGTATCTTTTCTCCAGGTGGGAAAAAAAATTTCTTGTGTCATTGAGCCTCAGAGAGTTTTTGTTTTTTGTTTTTAACTGCTAGCCCCCTAGGTGAACTGTTCTTTGTTTTTTTGTTTGTTTGTTTTTTTGTTTGTTTGTTTGTTTGTTTTTGAGACAGTTTTGTTCTTTTGCCCAGGCTGGAGTACGGGGGCGCGATCTCTGCTCACTGCAATCTCCGCCTCCCAGGTTCAAGCAATTCCCTGCCTCAGCCTCCCAAGTAGCTGGGATTACAGGTGTGAGCCACCGCGCCCAGATGAACTTACTGACTTTTATTTGACTGGGAATACACCTCTAAATTAAAAGCGATACAGGCTGTGGCTTTGGTTTCCCAAAGTAGGTCCCAGGAAAAGAACTCTTAATATTTTACTATATAAGTACAAAGGAAGACTCCCTCAAAGTAATTAATCCTAAACTAACTGGAGGCCAGATTTTTGTGTTTTTTTTGAGATGGTGTCTTGCTCTGTCGCCCAGGCCGGAGTGCAGTGGCCGATCTCTGCTCACTGCAAGCTCCGCCTCCTGGGTTCATGCCATTCTCCTGCTTCAGCCTCCCGAGTAGCTGGGACTACAGGAACCTGCCACCACGCCTAGCTAATTTTTTGTGTTTTTAGTAGAGACGGGGGTTTCACCATGTTAGCCAGGATGGTCTCAATCTCCTGACTTCGTGATCCACCCGCCTCGGCCTCCCAAAGTGCTGGGATTACAGGCGTGAGCCAACACGCCTGGTCTGGAGGCCAGATTTTTCAAGTCTTCTGTAAAAGAGTAAGCCCGCAAGGAGAAAATGTGTGAGGATTAATGTCTTGAAACAACTCAGACAGATATTTCATCTTCTTACTTATAAGTTGTAGCTAAATAAAGTGTACTCAGTGGACAGAGTGTAGACCCCTAGAACGGTGAGAGGATGGGATGGGGGGTAGATGATGAGAAATTAATTAATGGGCACAATGTACATTATTTGGGTGATGAATATACTAAAAGCCCAAACTTCACTGCCAGGCAACATATCCATGTAACAAAATTGCACTGGTAATCCTTAAATTTATACAAATTAAACAAAAATAATAGCAAGCTTTATCTACTTTGTAATTAGCTTTCAAACTCTTGATTGCAAACCAAAAGTCAGGAATAAACCTTTTATATTGTGAGCCATCACCTGCACAGCGTATATGTCTATATGATTGAAATCTGTTTTGCAAAATAATACTTGCCTCTGGTAGGTGTAAGGTTCCCTGGTATTTTCTGTTTTATTTTATTTTAAAAGAGAAGTGCTGGTTGCAGCCTGCTAAATTAATTGATGATTAATGGTATACAACTAGCAGTTTGAAAAACACTGCATTTAAGTGTTTTAGAAGTTTGTGCTTTCTGGTTCATTTTATCTCTTTCTGTAGCTGTTAATTCATGCTCCCCTTTTTATACTGTTCTCTACCTGTAGTGTGGTAATCACCATACTTTTAAGTATCTTAGTACTTCTTAATGATCCTTGTTTTGAGCCAGTAGGTCAAGTACTTCATTTCTGATTTCCTTAGCTGCAGAAAAGCATTATGAAACCAAGACTTTGATCTTGTCAGTATAATGCTTGCTCTCTTCTCTTTTCTCTTCTCTCCTCTCTCTTCTCTCCTGTCTTCTCTCTTCTCTCCTCTCCCCTCTCCCCTCTCCCCTCCCTTCTCCCCTCCCCTCTCCCCTCTTGTCTCCCCTCCCCTCTCGTCTCCCGTCTCCTCTGCTCTCCTCTGTTTTCTTTTCTTTATTTATTTTGAAGTGGAGTCTCACTGTTGACCGGGCTGGAGTGCTGTGGCGCAATCTTGGCTCACTGCAACTTCTACCTCCCGGGCTCAAGCAATTCTCCTGCCTCAGCCTCTCAAGCAGCTGAGACTACAGGCACAGACCACCATGCCTGGCTGATTTTTTTTGTATTTTTAGTAGAGATGGGGTTTCGCCATGTTGGCCAGGCTGGTCTTGAACTCCTGACCTCGGGTGATCTGCCCGCCTTGGCCTCCCAAAGTGCTGGGATTCCAAGCGTGAGCTACCACGCCCAGTCTGATGTTTAACTTTATAAACATTGCTTCAACTCTGTAATTCTTCTGTTTTTCTGTTGCCTTCCTTTTTTAAATGCTTGAGTGAATAACACATTTATTCACAAGATTTAAAAATCAAGAAATTGTGACAAGGTTCAATCTCTTCTCTCCATTGTCTCTTTTTCCACCTTCCCTCCCACTTCCAAATGTAACTGTGGTTAGTTTCTTGTAAATCTTTCAAAGTTTCTTTATGCCCATCCAAGGCAAACATACATACCCCTATATATTCTTACTTCCTTTTACCTTGTTAGAAAAGTCTGTATACCGCACTCCCTTTCTGCCCCTTTGATTTTATCAGGGATTATCTTGGACACATCTTTGTTCTTCCTTCTTCGTTTATAGCTGCCTGGATTGCATATGGCATTTTGCATGTCTATGAGTTTATCTTTAAAACAAACTCCAGCTATAGAATTGCAAGGTCAAAGGGTATATGCATTTGTAATTTTCGGTAACTATTGACAGATTGCTCTCTATGAGTTTTGTGTTCATTTATACACCCACCTGCAATGTGTAGCCTGTTACTTCCAGTCTCATCACTAGTACAAACTTTATCAAACTTTATCGCAGCCAGTCTGATAAATGAAAAGTGGCTTGTCAGGATAGTTGTGAGGATTGAGATATCATTCTCATACCGACTAAATATAGGTCACCTTGGATTATGTTTACAGCTGCTGGTAATACTCTTCAAAGTAGGCCCTTTCAAAGTTACTCCTATGTTTCTTTGGCTTTCACAGTGTTTACATTTTGTTTGAGAGGATCAGTACATTGAGTGTCTATGTGGTGTCTTTTATATTTTTGTAGGCTTTGACACATCTTCCTCATCTTCGAACTCAGCAGCCTCCTCATCCTTCAAATTTGGTGTCTCATCATCCTCTTCTGGGCCTTCTCAGACTTTAACAAGCACTGGAAATTTTAAATTTGGAGATCAGGGAGGATTCAAAATAGGTGTGTCATCCGATTCTGGGTCTATAAACCCCATGAGTGAAGGCTTTAAATTTTCTAAACCAATAGGAGATTTTAAATTTGGAGTTTCATCTGAATCTAAGCCCGAAGAAGTTAAAAAAGATAGTAAGAATGATAATTTTAAGTTTGGACTTTCTTCTGGTTTAAGCAACCCAGTTTCTTTAACTCCATTTCAATTTGGGGTATCTAATCTTGGACAGGAAGAAAAGAAAGAGGAACTGCCCAAATCTTCCTCTGCAGGTTTTAGCTTTGGTACAGGTGTTATTAACTCCACCCCTGCTCCTGCTAACACCATAGTGACCTCTGAGAACAAGAGCAGCTTCAACCTTGGAACCATAGAAACCAAGAGTGCTTCAGTGGCTCCTTTCACATGTAAGACATCAGAAGCTAAAAAAGAAGAAATGCCTGCCACCAAAGGAGGATTCTCTTTTGGCAACGTGGAGCCTGCCTCTCTGCCATCTGCCTCAGTGTTTGTTTTGGGAAGGACAGAAGAGAAACAGCAAGAGCCTGTCACTTCTACTTCCCTAGTTTTTGGGAAGAAAGCTGACAATGAAGAGCCAAAGTGTCAACCAGTGTTTTCCTTTGGGAATTCAGAGCAAACCAAAGATGAGAATTCTTCAAAGTCCACATTTAGTTTTAGTATGACAAAACCATCTGAGAAGGAATCTGAACAGCCAGCAAAAGCCACTTTTGCCTTTGGAGCTCAAACTAGTACTACAGCTGGTAAGTATTAACTTTTTATTATTATTATTATTATTTTTTTTTTTACAAGTTGTCGTTTTACAAGTTGCCTTGACAGATGCAGCAAGTCAATTAATGGTTTACACTGAACATAGTTGAGAAATACAGAACTCTTTGGGAAGGAACCTAGGATTTTCAGTTTGAACTGCTCTTTAAAACCCTCATGATTCTGGTGAAGTCATCTGTGGATCTAATTTTGAGAAATACAGCAGTAATGCAAAGCTCAATATAGTGCATATTTATGTGTGTCTTTCTCTTCTGTTTGGGCTTTTATAATCAGAATTGGTATCTACTACCTGGAAAATAAGGATTCTTAGCTTATGAAGTATTTTCTACCATAATCTATGGGAAGGCCTTTATTTACAAATAGTTACAGATAACCAGTCCTCATCAAACATTAAGAAACATAGACAACAAATATAATTAATCCTGAGAAAACAAGAGATTTTGAAAGCTGAAGTCCTGGGGAAAAAAATGACATAGCACCTTAAAGGTTAAAAGCATGATTGTTGGTGGATCCTATTAAAGTCATTCTGTGAGCTGAATAGCAGGAAGAACTTCATAGCTGATAATCAGATTAGTGAACTAGAATTTCCCCAAACTTAGTGCACCAGTACAAAGAGTGATCCAAGTTAGATCCACAAGTTCCTTTGGGATAGGAGTGGCCTAGAAGATAAGAAGTTTTGGGGAAATATCAAAGAAGTGACAGAAGAAAATTTTCTAGATCTAAAGAAAGACATTGGTCTTAAAAATGGAAATTACCTATTGGCAAAGATCACTGAAATTTAGGACACCAAAGCTAAAACCCCAAATGCTTTCAGAGAGAAAAGCTATTTGCCACAAATAGGCAGGTATCAGATTAGCATCATCTTCTAATTTGTAACATCACATGCTAAAAACAACAGTGCCCTTAAAGTGAAAATGTTCTTGAACCTAGAATTCTGTTACTAGCCAAATGTGTTTAAATATAAAGACAATCCGGGTGCCGTAGCTCACACCTATAATCCCAACTAGTCGGGAGGCTGAAGCACAAGAATCTCTTGAACCTGGGAGGCGGAGGTGGCAGTGAGCAGAGATTGGCCCAGTGCACTCCAGCTTGGGCAACAGAACAAGGCTCTGTCTCAAGAAAACCCAACAA
This sequence comes from Homo sapiens, assembly GCF_000001405.40. NCBI lineage: Eukaryota > Metazoa > Chordata > Mammalia > Primates > Hominidae > Homo > Homo sapiens. Next base: position 17,627,498 of record NC_000006.12, on the reverse strand, counting down.
CAACAAAAAAACACCAACACAAAGGCAAAATACAGATGTTTTTAGATGTGCAAAAAATGCAAAAGTTGAATATCCATGAATACTTTTGAATAATAAATTGGAAACACTCAAAATTAACCTTTAAAAAGTATGGAATTCAACAAATAGCTATGAGCAGTTTTTTGTCTGTTATATATTTACTTAGAAATATAAAGACAAAATCAAAACTAAAATTACATATTATTTGGAAAGCAACAAAAACATGATAGGGTCTAATCAGATTTGATGATGAAAACACCAGGCTATGGTAGACACTCTTAACCATTCTTCCATTAGCCAGGTTGAAAGTAAGCCAACATGTTCCATTTTCTGTAAGTCATACTAATGCCCATAGTGTACTGTGACCAGCCCTGGATAGTGTGCGGTATTGGAACTGAGAGATTATTGGAATAGTTTAGAAAAAAATCTTCAATAAGGTGGCTGGATTCAGAATCACCATATAAAAATCAAAAGTTTTTCTTCAAATCAGCATGTCTCATTTGTTTTTCCTAACATTTCTAACTTGTATTTTATAAAAGCAGCAGAACTTGTAACATGCCAAATAACTAAAAGAACACAAAAGGCATACTTGTTGCTGGGTGAAGGTATTCCCTTCCTCCTCCCATAATTTTAGTTCTTAGGGGAATTTTTGTAGAGCTTGACAAGCTAAACTTATTCTAAAATTCACATGGAAAGGAAACCACACAAGAAATTTTGGGAAGAAGGGCAGGCACACAGGCAGCTTTGTCCTACTAATATCAGTCCATGGTATAAAGTTATAATAATTAAAACAGTCTAGTGATAACAGTAGAGGAAACAAGTATATGCATTTTAGGAAATGTAGTGTGTGATAAAGACAGCATTGCAAATTAGTGCACAAAGGCTGTACTAGTTGATGCTGTGGAGAAACTTGGCTATCCATTTAGATAAATTGAAGTTATGATTTTGCCACATACTGTAATATAAATTGCAAAATAAAACATATAAAAGTACAGCTGTCTTCCACTATCTAAGCTTGCTATTCAACTACAGTATCCAGTTAGATTTGGATTCGAGGTGTATTTTTATTAACCTGAATGCCAAAGGCCTTCCTATGAAAGGCCTAAAATCCATAAGCTATAAAAGAAGATGAATGTATTTGACTTTGTCAAAATCTAATATAAACAGATGTCCATTTGATGAAGTAATCTATATAAAAAATCTATTTTCTAGCGAATTCTAGGGTAGGAAAATTCTAGCAATTGTAGGGTAGGAAAAAGTACTTTCTGAGACTATTCTTAAGGATTTATGTTTGTTTCTTAATTTCTGTCTTACAGATCAAGGTGCAGCAAAGCCAGTTTTTAGTTTCTTGAACAACAGTTCCTCTAGTTCAAGTACACCAGCCACTTCTGCTGGTGGTGGCATATTTGGTAGTTCCACCTCTTCCTCCAATCCACCTGTGGCTACCTTTGTGTTTGGACAGTCCAGCAATCCTGTGAGCAGCTCTGCCTTTGGTAACACTGCTGAATCCAGCACCTCTCAGTCTTTGCTATTTTCTCAAGATAGCAAACTAGCAACCACATCCAGCACAGGTACAGCTGTCACCCCATTTGTCTTTGGTCCAGGAGCCAGCAGTAATAATACTACCACCTCTGGTTTCGGCTTTGGAGCCACAACCACATCTAGCTCTGCAGGTACATTTACAAAAGAAAAAATGCATTGTAATTGGATGGACTTTACTTATTAGTGTGTCAGTTCTTAGCGAATATCATATAGCAGGTTATCACAAAATGGTGGGAATGCCTTTTGGTCATCTATACCAGGGTTGTTTTAATTATTCACTGTATGGAATAATGTACACTCTCTGTGTTCAACTTTAACATATTTACCTCTTGGGAGCAATTTTTCTAATTGTGGTAAGAGTGTAATACTTAATTTTTCTAAGCTTTGTTTTTTGTTTTTGTTTTCTTTCGAGACGGAGTCTTGCTCTGTCACCCAGGCTGGAGTGCAGTGGTGCAATCTCAGCTCACTGCAACCTGCCTCTCCCGAGTTCAAGCAATTCTCCTGCCTCAGCCTCCTGAGTAGCTGGGATTACAGGTGCCCGCCACCACACCCACCTAATTTTTGTATTTTTAGTAGAGATGGGGTTTTACCATGTTGGCCAGGCTCGAATTCCTGACCTCATGATTTGCCCGCCTCGGCCTTTCAAAGTGCTGAGATTACAGGTGTGAGCCACTGTGCCTGGCCCCAAGCTTTGTTTTTAAAATGTTAGGTTGTCAGTAACCAGACACTGGAAGTTGTTTTATTAAACATCAGTCTTTATTATGCAATGTATATATGCACATCATGAGGCAATTTCTGCACACATTAAATTTCTGGTGGGAGATTATTCTGAGATATGTTCCTTTACCAGAAATTGTCGGCTGTAAAGGTGTGGAGTAGTTGTTAATTGCAGTTTTTGTTTATATGAATTTAGTATGTTTCACTAAATAATGGTAGAGAGCGTTGTATTCTCAATCATTATTTAAAACTTGTCTTGATGGAATTTGGTTAGCAAGGTAAGAGTCTGAAACGAAGCTTGACATTTGCTTGTGGGTTTACAGAAATTTCTTGAGGATAATCTGACATTAGCCACCATGGTGACTTAAGTGTTTCTTTGGGCCTCCAGGATCCTCCTTTGTATTTGGAACTGGACCCTCAGCACCATCTGCCAGTCCAGCATTTGGTGCTAACCAGACCCCAACATTTGGACAAAGTCAAGGTGCCAGCCAGCCCAATCCCCCAGGCTTTGGATCTATATCATCTTCCACAGCATTATTTCCCACTGGTTCTCAGCCTGCACCACCTACTTTTGGGACAGTGTCAAGCAGTAGCCAGCCCCCTGTGTTTGGACAGCAACCTAGTCAGTCTGCATTTGGCTCTGGAACAACTCCTAATTCTAGTAAGTGTGCTGTGATGCTGTTAGTATCTGTATGGGTTTTGTGTGTCTTAAAATATTTTCCTTTGAGCTTGGAAACCATTCATATGTCTAATTTTAAAATTATCTCTTGTACTTGGCAGAATAGAGAGGTAATATGGTTGGATTTATATATAAACAACATTCGCAGGTTTCACAGACTTGTAACTTTTTTAAGGTAGTAATGTATTTTAAAGTGTTAATTTTTACTCTGACTTAAGTATGGGATTCATTCACTCTCATTTCTTCTCAACTTTGAATTTTTGGGCTTGCAAGGCTAGCTTTGAAGTGCATTTTCTGATCCTGTTTATGATTGGATTTGCGTTAGGAAGTTACCCCCAGGTCCAGTGCTCTCTCCTGGGGCAGTCCCGCTGAGTTGTCTCATGACACTTTCTATTTACTGATGATACCAGCCTTTCCATTTGAACTGCATATTTAAATATGACTAATCAAATTGTATTATAATCCTATATTTTCTTAAAATTGTTGTTGATTTTTTTCTAATTGTGAAATATAATATTATGTAGAAAGGGGTGTAAAATATAAGTGAACAGTGTAATATTGAAGCAAATGCTGTATAACAACCACCTGGAAGCCCCTCATGTATCTCTTTTTGAAAACACTCCTCTCTTTCTCCACTCTAATGATGACCACCGCCTTGTCTTTTATGGTAATCACTGTTCTTTGGGTTTTATTACTGCATTTATTGGCTAATAGATGCATCCCTAGAAAATGTAGTTTTGCCTGCTTTTATATAAATGGAATATTACTGCATGCAGTCTTTTGATTTGTGATTGTTTTGCTCTAAGGCTTGTAAGGGTCATCCATGTTTTGCATATAGTTTGTTTATTGTCATTGCCATAGAGTAAATCATTGTATGAATATACTGCAGTTTATTTACTGTTGACATATGTTTCAGTTGTTTTTAACTACTAGGAAATGCTACTCTGTACATTCTTGTATATGTACCTTGGTGCACATATGTATGTTTTTCTAGAGTATATACAGTGGCATGGGATTGCTGAATTAAAAGGTTTGTATATCTTATACTAGAAGATAATAAAAACTTTTCCTGATGGATTCTGCCAATTCATATCCTACCACCATTGTATGAGTTCTTATATGTGGGTTCTATTTGATTTCTCATGTGTGTAAATTGTTTTAAAAGGTTTTTTTTTTTTTTTTTTTGGCCATTTTTCAGTTTGGCTTTTGCGTGTAAGTTTGTAGAGGTTCTTTATGTATTCTGGATATTGGTACTTTGTCAGCTAATGTACATACCAAAATTTCTCCTGTTTTCTGATATACATTAACCATTTTGATCAGGATTTTTTCCTCTAATATGAAATTGGAAAGTTTCTATTTCTTTCACACAGGTAACATTTTCCTCTGTTGTCATCGTCTTTTTTTTTTTTTTTTGAGACAGAATCTCACTGTGTCGCCCATGCTGGAGTGCAGTGGCTTGATCTCCGCTCACTGCAACCTCCGCTTCCCGGGTTCAAGTGATTCTTCTGCCTCAGCCTCCCAAGTAGCTGGGACTACAGGCACGTGCCACCACACCTGGCTGATTTTTTATATTTTTAGTAGAGATGGGGTTTCACCGTGTTAGCCAGGGTGGTCTTGATCTCCTGACCTCATGATCCACCCACCTCGGCCTCCCACAGTGCTGGGATTACAGGTGTGAGCCACCACGCCCAGCCTTTATCTGCTTAATATAGAGACACTGTAAGGTTAGATCAGGATTCTGATTATGGAAATGCTGATTATTGCTGAGCCATATGGTATACTATAACTTTCTATCCTATACAAAATTTGTTTCTCTGACATTATTGACTTCCTCTCTTTATTTTTTTTTTATGTAAAGAGCAATCAATTTTATAAACTAAATACAAAGAAAAAGTCAATTTTAGGAGATCTTTCTTCCAGTTAAAGAATTGAGAAAAGGCTACAGAGGCCCTAAAAATTAGAGTCACACTGTTGTTGAAACTTGGGGAAAGACAGCATTTTAGGGTTGAGGTTCTCAGTTCTATAACAAGGTAGACCTGGATAGTAAAGATGTTAGAAAATCCTTTTTTAAATTTTTTGAGACAGGGTCTCACCTTGCCGCACAAACTGGAGTACAGTGGTGGAATCTCGGCTCACTACTGCCTCAACCTGCTGGGCTCAAGCCATCCTCCTGCCTGAGCCTGCCAAGAAACTGGGACTACAGGCAGACACCACCACTACACCCATCTGTTTCATTTTTGGAGGGGGGCGTGGTTTGTAGAGACAGGGTTTTGCCATGTTATCCAGGCTGGTCTCTAACTCCCGAGCTCAAGCAGTCCACCCACCTCAGCCTCCTAAAGTGCTAGGATTACAGGCGTGAGCTACTGTGCCCAGCCAAGATGTTAGAAAACTCTTGACTCTGGGTAGCAGCATAACTGTCCAAAAAAACACAAAACAAAACAAAAGAAAAGCCATGCTACAAAGTCTAGTGAAGGTCATTCCCACAGAAAACACAAAGCATTAATTTTTGTCATACATAGAAATATAGTTTTAGTAATAATCCAAAAGCATTTTTGATAAAAATGAAAAACTTTAAAAAAATATTTTAAAGTTTTTCATTTTTAAAAACTGATGTGTTATTTTGTTACATACATACAATGTGTAATAAATTAGGGCATTTAGGATATCCATCACCTTGAACATTCATCATTTCTTTGTGTTGGGAACATTTCAGAACTTCTAGCTATTTTGAAATGTACAATAAATTATTGTTAACTCTACTGTGCTCTCAAATACTAGAATTTATTCCTTCTATCTAGCTATATGTTTGTATTCGTTAACCACCTTCCCTTCCTACCACCACCCCAACGAAGCCTCTGAACCATCATTTGTTCTCTACCTTTATGAGATCAACTTGTTTTTTAGCTCCTACACATGAGTGAGAACATTGAATATGTGTCTTTGTGCCTGGCTTATTTCACCTAACATAATGTCCTTCAGTGCCATAGATGTTGTAGTAAATGACAAGATGTTATTTTCTTTTAATGACCAAATAGTATTTTATTGTATATTAAACCACATTTTCTGTATCCATCTGTTGATGGACACTTAGATTGATTCCGTATCTTGGCTGTTGTGAATAGTGCTGCACTAAACATCAGGTACAGGTGTCTCTTTGATATACTGATTTCCTCTCCTTTGGATAAATAGCCAGTAGTGGGATTGCTGGATCATAAGGTGATTCTATTTTTAGATTTTTTGAGAAACTTCCTTACTGTTTTCCATAACGGTTATACTAATTTACATTCACTCCAACAGTGTGTAAGTTTCCATTTCCTTGCCAGCAGTTGTTAATTTTTGTCCTTTTGCTAATAGCCATTCTAAGAGGTGAAATGCTACCTCATTGTGGTTTTGATTTGCATTTCCCTTATGATAGTGATGTTGAGCATTTTTTCAGGTCTATTGGCCATTTGTGTGTTGTGTTTTAAGAAATGTCTGTTCAGATCCTTTGCCCGCTTTTCAGTGGGATTATTTGGTTGTTTTTGTTTTGCTGTTGAGTTCTTTGAGCTCATTGTGTATTCTGGATATTAGTCCCCTGTTGGATGAATAGTTAGCAAACTTTTTTTCCCTTTCAACAAATTTTTCACTCCTGATTGCTTCTTTTGCTGTGCAGAAGCTTTTCAGTTTAATATAGTCCCTCTTGTCTATTTTTGTTTTTGTTGCCTGTGCTTTTGATGTCTTAGCCATAAAATCTTTGCCTAGGCCAGGGGGGTCCTATCTTTTGGCTTCCAGGGGCTACTTTGGAAGAATTATTGTCTTCGGCCAAACACAAGATACATTAACACTAACAATAGCTGATGAACTGAAAAAGAAAATTGCCAAGAAAAAAAATCTCCACGTTTTAAGAAAGTTTATGAATTTGTGTTGGACGGCATTCAGAGCCATCCTGGGCTACATGTGGCCTCTCGGTTGGACAAGCTTGGCTTAGACCAATGTCCTGGAGCATTTCTCACTATGTTTTCTTCTAGGGGTTTTGTGGTCTCATGTCTTACACTTAAGTCTAATCCATTTTGAGTTGATTTTTGTATAGGGTGAGAAGTAGGGGTCTAGTTTCATACTGCATATGGATCTCCAGTTTTCCAAGCACCATTTACTGAAGAGAGTATCCTTTTCCCAATGCGTGTTCTTGTCATCATTGTCGAAAATCAGTTGGCTGTAAATACGTGGATTTGTTTCTGAATTCTCTATTCTATTCCATTGGTCTATGTGTCTTTTTATACCAGTCTCATATAGCTATATATGGTAAGTATAGCTTTGTGTAGTATATTTTGAAGTCAGATAGTATGATACCTCAGCTTTTTTCTTTTTGCTCAGGATTGCTTTAGCTATTTGGACTCCTGTGGTTCCATATGAATTTTAGGATTTGTTCCTCCCTCCCTTCCTTTTTTTTTTTTTTTTTTTTTTTTTTGATGGTGTCTTGCTCTGTTGCCCAGGCTGGAGTATAATGGTGCAATCTTGGCTCACTGCAGCCTCTGCCTCCCAGGTTCCAGCAATTCTCCTGCCTCAGCTTCCTGGGTAGCTGGGATTACAGGCGCGTGCCACCACACTTGGCTAATTTTTGTATTTTTAGTAGAGACGGGGTTTTGCCATGTTGGCCACGCTGGTCTCGAACTCCTGACCTCAGGTGATCTGCCCGCCTCGGCCTCCCAAACTGCTAGGATTATAGGTGTGAGCCACAGCGCCTGGCCGGATATGTTTCTATTTCTATGGAGAATGTCATTGGTATTTTTGGTAGGGATTGCATTGAATCCATAGATTGCTTTGAGTAGTATGGCCATTTTAACAATAATAGTTCTTCTGATCCATGAATATAGGATGTCTTTACATTTGTTTGTGTTCTCTTTAATTTCTTTCATCAGTTTTTAGTTTAAAAATATAGAACACTTCACAAATTTGGGTGTCATCCTTGTGCAGGGGGCCATGCTAATCTTCTTTGTTCAAGTTTTGGGTATGTGCTGCTGAAGTAAGCACTGAAAGAACTTTTCTCACAGGGTCTTTTAACCTGTTCCTCCTACCAGGCTTTCTTGGCTTGCTGTTTAACTGTGCTCTTGGGAAACCTCTTTTTACCATTCTTTTGGAGATTCCTTTTAGCTTCGTAGAGGAACCCGTTTCCTGGGTGTCATGTCTTTCCTGTTACTCCCCTATTTTCTGATACAGCACATCTTCCAGTGATTCTTGAGGGTTCAGGGATGGAAAACATTGAGGCCATACATCTCTGCAGGGATCTTTATTCTCTCCCCATGTTTGGTAAGATTTTGATTGAATATAGATGTAGATTGGAAATCATTTTTATAATTTTGAAAGCATTTCTCCATTGTAGACTTTTCTGGCTTCCAGAGTTGCCTGAAGTCTTGATCTTTGCTCTTTGGCCTGTTTCTTCTTTCTGGAATTGTTAGACTCTCCTCTTTTGCCTCCATTGTTCTGATACATCAGGATGTGTCTTGATGTGGGTTTGTTTTTATCGTTTGTGTAGGGAGTGCAGCATGCTCTTTTGTGAACTTCCATTTTGGGGAATTTTCCTGAATTATTTATTTGAAGATTTTGTCCCCTAATCCTTCCTTTCCTTCTTACCTTTTGTCTTTGTGTCATACTTTCTCAGATTTATCTTTCATTACCATTCTGTTGAGATTTTAACTTCTGCTGGGCGCAGTGGCTCACGCCTGTAATCCCAGCACTTTGGGAGGCCAAGGCGGGCAGATCACGAGGTCAGGATATCGAGACCATCCTGGCTAACACGGTGAAACCCCATCTCTACTAAGAAATACAAAAAATTAGCCAGGCGTGGTGGCGGGCGCCTGTAGTCCCAGCTACTCAGGAGACTGAGGCAGGAGAATGGCGTGAACTCGGGAGGTGGAGCTTGCAGTGAGCTGAGACCGTGCCACTGCACTCCAGCCTGGGCAACAGAGCCAGACTCCATCTTTAAAAAAAAAAAAAAAAAAAAGAGAGATTTTAACTTCCACTATTTCTTTAATTTCTAAGTATTCTTTTTTATTTTCTGGATGTTTCCTTTTTATGCCCCTCTGGGTTCCCCCCCACCCAACTCTCCAGTGGATGAAGTATTCATTAAAGATATGGAGTTCAGATTTTTCTCCTTAAAATTTTGTTTCTTTGCTGAGTCAGTTTTCCCAAAATTGCTTTTATTATTTTTGTCTCAGTGTTTCTTATTAAATACTGTCCTCAAATGCCTGGTACTCCTTGGCTACCTGTAGTTGTTATGAGTGTAGGACACGTAAATACCACTTAAATCCTTTCTACATTGATAGGGCTTACAGATCTTGAATTTCATTGTAGATTTATCTGGTTTATCTAGCATTATTTTACTTGGGAAAGTTTGGATGTTAGTATCCTTCATTCTTTTCACTTAGTCTGTCAGATACCCCAAAGAAGATGCATCCAGTCTCCTGCATGGAGGGTATCAGAGAACTTCATTTGCCAGTGTTCTGGGAGCTAAGATTGGGAAGATGGCTGGAGCGCTCGGTATTTTGTGAATATCGAGCTACACTTAATTCCTGTTTTCAAAATGATATTCTTGCCCTTAACTGTATGTGGTGTCTCCCAGTCCAGACACTTCTACAAAGACTAAAACACTAAACTTCTGTTCTGGTGCGGTGGAAGAGGAGAATTACCATCTTTTTTTTCTTTTTTTTTCTTTTCCTTCTGAGATAGGGTCTCACTCTGTTTCCCAGGCTGGAAGGCAGTGGCAGAGTCAGGGCACACTGCGTCCTCGACCTCCTAGGCTCAGAAGATCTTCCCACCTCAGCCTCCTGAGTAGCTGGGATTACAGGTGCACGCCACTACGCCTGGCTAATTTTGAAAAATTTTTTATAGAGATAGGATCTCGCCATGTTGCCTAGGTTGTTCTCAAACTCCTGGGCTCAAGCAGTCCACCTGCCTTGGCCTCCCAAAGTGCTAGGATTATACGCATGAGTCACTGCACCCACTGATAATTACCATCTTTGTGTTGGTGTTGGGAGGGATTGATTCTGGGTATCTGCTTCTAAACATACTCTGCCATCCTTTTTTTTTTTTTTTTTTTTTAATTCCCACTACATCCTCACTTCCATAGGTATCTGGAACCTAAACATTTTGGGTATGTTTGGTGTAAATGCAATTGCTTCTGTTCTTTCCCTACTGCTCGTTTAGTATCAACTCTAGTCAGCCTTCCAGCTTCTAAACCTATATCTTTGTAAAAATCCCTTGTTGTTTTAATGCACTTTTCAAAGAAGATAGAGCTAAGTGTATTTGTTGATTTCACTGTCTTTAACCATAAGTCCAGGGTGCCCTTTTCCCCTTGGTCATAGGTAAGTTGTGTGATTTGTTGGAGGTGTCAAGTATGTACTATGTGTCAGTGGAGAAAATAGTTTTCTTTAGATTAAAAGACCAGAATATTTTAATTCTTTGCATGTTTTTATATGTAAAGGTCAGAGTCTTTAATTTAAAAACCTATCATGTTGCGGCCGGGTGCAGTGGCTTACGCCTGTAATCCAGCACTTTGGGAGGCCGAGGTGGACAGATCACAAGGTCAGGAGATCGAGACCATCCTGGCCAACATGGTGAAACCACGTCTCTACTAAAATACAAAAAATTAGCCAGGCATGGTGGCACGCACCTATATAGTCCCAGCTACTGGGGAGGCTGAGGCAGGGGAATCACTTGAACCCAGGAGGCAAGGGTTGCAGTGAGCCAAGATTGTGCCACTGTACTCCAGCCTGGGCAAGAGAGCGAGACTCCGTCTCAAAAAACAAACAAACAAACAAAAAAACCTATCATTTTGCCCTAATGAAGTATTTCTGCTTTAACTATTGCAGGTTCGGCTTTCCAGTTTGGCAGCAGCACTACAAATTTCAACTTCACAAACAACAGTCCATCAGGAGTGTTCACATTTGGTGCAAATTCTAGCACACCTGCAGCCTCAGCCCAGCCTTCAGGCTCGGGGGGCTTTCCATTTAACCAGTCTCCAGCAGCATTTACAGTGGGGTAAGAGAATTTTTTATTGAAATGGAGAAGTTACATTGGTAAGGGTATGTGCATGTATATGTTTTGTTTTTAAAAGTCATCAAGATTCCGTATGGTTTGGGTAAAATTAAATATGTTCTCCAACATAAATTTACCATACTATAATTCTGGAGGATTATATTACAGTTTGAGAAAAAAATAACAGTAGCGTGTGTGTTAGGTGTAGCAGAAAATGTATATACCAATGTGAGTCTACTCCCCCCCCACCCGACCCCCCTTACCCTTGTGCTGCTCATGGTAAATGTTAGCATTTGGAAATTTTGCTCAGAGCATCATGTCACATTATGAAGTTTTTATTTTTCACAGGTCAAATGGGAAAAATGTGTTCTCTTCTTCTGGAACTTCATTCTCTGGTCGCAAGATAAAGACTGCTGTTAGACGCAGGAAATAAAGGTCACATTGGTGTTGTACTCAATTTTAACAACAGCTGGTGCCCTGCTTTCAGATACTGGATTGTACTTTGTGCTGGGGTTATCTGAAGTCAGATCTGCCTAAGGACTTCTTTAATTTTGGAATTTTCCTCCTTTCTCTTTCGTTACAGAAGCCCCACCCTGCCTCACCCACCCTTTTTTAAATAAATAAATAGCTAGACTGGTGACTGATTCTTCAGCAAAAATATTTTATGATCCAGCAGATTATTCACTGATTTGACATAGTCTGGCTGTACCCAGGAATGGAGCCTGCACGGTGAATGGCTTTGTATAGAACCTCTTTGTCTACACCATTATGTGCGCTGATAAGCGTTCATGGAACGCGTTGAAATTGTAATTATATCTGAGGAATTCTGTATAGATTAGAATTCTGTATAGATTAGAGAGTGTTGAAACGGATGATTTCTATGCTGAGTTTGTGCTGGTGTATGTGTGAAGTGAGTGAGTTGGGTGTATTGTGCGCTAAACTTTTCTGATAGAGGAAGCCTGATTAAAGAATGGTCCGTGCTAAGGACTTGTTAGATCTAGTTCACTCTCCATTTAATAATTATATGCTATTTCTATATTTTCATTCTCCTATCACCTGTCTTGCCTTTTTCATTATTTTATTATGAAACTTGTGTAAATACAATTTTGTTTCTGTACTTTTTGGCATAACATAAATCTGTGAACTTGAAATTTGAATTTTGTGTTAGAGATTTTTTTGTTGTTTGTTTAGTCTTGTCTCAGATTTTATTATGTAAATCCCATTATTCAAAGTTGCCTAAATCCATTTGGAAATCTTTAAAAAAAAAATTGGGGATTCTTAAAGTTGAATTTATTGGCTTTTCTGATCCAGTTTTGTTTGGACCAAAAACCAGTATTGTACAAAGTATTAAGCATATATTTTTATATTTACTAAAATGGACTGTGGTGACTTTGGATAATAAGGAAAAGTTTAATATTAAAGCCATGTTTATTACAGTATAATTAACATGTTAAACCATGGGATAAATGCCATCAATAAAAAATTATGACATACTTTTTGTTCTAGTTTTACCTCATAATGAAGGCACACAGTATTATTGGGGGGACTTTGTAAAATAAAGATTAACAGTGTCTCATTAGAAGAATACATTGACATGATTTAGACAACTCCTAAGAGAAAGGGAAAGTATCTGAAAGTATCTGAATGCACAACATATAGAAGGTACCCTACTTCTTGCCTGGTGCTAGGAATCATGCCTAATTTGCATATCGACTTAGGTACCTTTTTTAAAAGTTGAAAATACACACATTCATTTCTCTTTGTGCTTCTATCTTCCTTGGTAAGTTACTGGATAGTGTTTATTAAAGTTCTTGGAAATACATACACAAAAACTACAGTTGTCTCTTGGTGTGTGCAGGAGATTGTTCCCAGAACTGCACTCCCCCCCCCCCCCAGTTCTCCCGCCCCCAAACCACAATCCACAAATTTCAGCAGTGGACCCTGCAGAACCTGAGTATACCAAAAGCCAGCCCTCCGAATGTGCAGGTTTTATATCCCACGAATACTGTGTTTTTGATCTGTTTTTGGTTGAGTTAAAAAAAAAAAAAAAACCCGTGATAAGTGGGCCCACGGTTCAAACCCGGGTTGTTCAAGGGTCAGCTGCACTTTCTTTTGTATTATTTTACTGCATTCTTTTTTTTTTTTTTAAACTGGATTCCCATGGTCCATAAAAGAGCTCTTGGAACAATATTTGGTAATTTTATTTTTCAGTTGGAAATGTACAGTTATTTAAATTGTGCTCAGTTTTAATTTACTGAACTTCTGGTTGGTTGGAGTTTATGTTTTTCCAAGACGGAGTCTTGCTCTGTCGCCCAGGCTGGAGTGCAGTGGTGCGGTCTCAGCTCACTGCAACCTCTGCCTCCTGGGTTCAAGCAATTCTCCTGCCTCAGCCTCCTAAGTAGCTGTGATTACAGGCGCCCGCCACCATGCCCGGCTAATTTTTTGTGTGTATTTTTAGTAGAGACACGGTTTCACCATGTTGGCCAGGCTGGTCTGGAACTCTTGACCTTGTGATCCACCCGCCTCAGCCTCCCAAAGTGCTGGGATTACAGGCGTGAGCCACCGCGCCTGGCCTGGTTGCAGTTTAAATTTAGAACTCAAGGTATTTTTCTTACTTGAGATATTTTAGTCCATCATCAAATGCTGGTTGGGGGTAGAAATTTTGCTTTATTAGCAGTATACATTTGACACCTGTTGAGGGGGCAAAATGTGATGAATACTGGAAGAGGTAACTGGGAATTTGTGTCTTACTGCTGAGAAGTTAATTCTTACTTTGAAGGTTCTTAGCCATTCTCTAGGCCCCTATCGCTGAAGTGTTCTGCTTTTCTCTAAAAATTGCAAGAAATGATGTTTACTTTTATTTAGTACTGTTTAAAACTCACTAAAACCATACTTAATCTGTTTGTTAAAAATGGAATCTTTAGCCCCCAACCTGATTAGTCTATAGAACTGCACTCAGAACTTGGGGCTTTTTTCAGTCTGACTACTTTATTTCTTGGGAACCTCCGCCTTTTGGGTTCAAGCGATTCTCCTGCCTCAGCCTCCTGAGTAGCTGGGACTACAGGTGTGCTCCACCACACCTGGCCAGTTTTTGTATTTTTAGTAGACAGAGGGTTTCGCCATGTTGGCCAGGCTGGTCTCGACCTCCTGACCTCGTGATCCGCCTGCCTTGGCCTCCCAAAATGCTGGGATTACAGGCGTGAGCCACATGCCCAACCTTGCTTTGGGTTGTATACTGCATACACAAGTGAAAATTGAGGATATTTATGGATGGCAGGGAAACAAATGTTGGAAAGAAAGTAATAAAAGCCCATACTTCTTATGCTGGGCCAATGAGTAATGAAGATAGATTGCCAGGGTCTCCCTCTGTCACCCAGGCTGGAATGCAGTGGTGCTGTCATAGCTCACTGCAGCCTTCAACTCCTAAGCTCAAGCCATCTTCCTGCCTCAGCCTTCAGAGTAGCTGGGGACTACAGGTATGTGCCACCATGCTAAGATTTTTATTTTTTATAGAGACAGGGTCTTGGTATGATCCTCTTGCCTTCTAACATGCTGCAATTACAGGTGTAAGCTACCAAACCCAGCCAGGAATTGTTTTTAATGAAAAAGAATCTCTAAGGGAGGAAAGTCATGTTCAGAAAGTTTAATTGAATAATTAAGTAGGTGTTTTTATAATTTGGTCGATTGACGAGAGGACTGGTGGCTCTCACTGAATGTACCGTTAGTAGTAGTTGGCAGGGTATGTCAAATATATGTTCTAGGACCCCCATCACCAGAAACTGGGACTGGATAGGTTCCAAAAGTCTGCATCATCAAATAAGCACCTGGCAGACTGATGCACTGAGGTTTGGGGGTGTCACTTTAAGCAAAGTGCTAGGTGGTTTTGAGTAATTACGATTCCGGGCATTGAGAAAAAGGTACGGTTCAGACCACTGAAAAATGTCTTTAAGCTGCCTATTAATACTTGTTACAAATTCTCCTCTGAAATTACTTGTTTATCTAATTATTATTTTATTACTTGAAATTAGTTATTGAACTAATTTTAACAACATATAACCAGGCCATATGCTGGTTAAGCCTGGAAAGAACTTTTCAATTGGAAAGTATTATTTTACTTTGGAAAAGTAAAATACAATGGAAATTTTATAGTGGTTATTTTAGCCGGTGCATTTAATGGAAACTGACAAAAATTTGGTCTAGTAAAATTGAGAAAATGGAGGTAGTAGGTCTAGCTACACGCATCAGCTGTATGACCATGTCGGTCAGAGACTTCCTTTTGTAATATAGGGCACCTTTGTAAACTTGTCTCAAAAATCTACTGTAGTTCTAAAACAAGTTTGTGGCTAGGCTCATAACAGCAGCACATTGTCTACAGGACTTGGACCATCTTTTAGCTACAGTCTAGTTTATCCTTTATTATCTTTGCCCCTGTTGAGTGAGGAACCCGTTGTTTTGCTTCCTGCCTTCTCTCTGGACCTGTTCATAAAAGTTGTTAGAATGGGAAAGGCTTTTAAGGTCAGAACTGGGTTTAAATTGCCCAGATGAGACTTGTGTGGTGGTTGTGATGGTTAACAACTCTTGAAGGACTGGATTAGTTTAATAGTAAGCTTAATTCATGTACAGGTAACTTCTGAGTGTGCCTGCTAAAAGAATATATCCTTAAAGATGGGCGATTCTTTTTTCATAGATCTCTATTTCTGAAAGCATTCTAGTTTACTGCTAAACCCACTGGAAAACCTGTATTTGGAGGCAAGGTCTCCCTAAGCAGATTCTAGAGCAAACTGTCTCAAAGAAATAGACAAAATACAGATGCATTGATGACTAAGTATTTATTGAGACAAATAATACAAATTGGTGGCATACAAATTATTAAAAATAGAATGCTGAATTTTATTTATAGGTGGGCCATCAGATACTGTTTACAGGTTAAGCCTTACTATAATGAACTGCAAAGAAGTATGTATACTGTTTGAAATGAGGAACTTTATCCAGGCAAACATGGGATGTCAAGAGTGGCCTGTGGTACTGGAGACAAGGAATATCAAGTAATTGACATGTTACTTGTCTGTCAGATTTTAAGAATACTGTTATTTAGGCATATTCAAAGAAACAACTGCCTGTTTTAATAGGGATAAGTATATAACGAAAACATTTAATATCCATACCCCCCTCAAAAAGCCCTTTATTCCCAAGTAGCAACTAGTGTAAATTAATTTTCAATTCCTTTCTACCCTTCCTTTGCTAGAAATACTTATGCATAACTAAAACACTCAAGTCACTGAAGGGAACAAATCCTTTTACTGTCACTTGAATCTAAAAACACTCATTTTGTAATTTGGGCGAAGTAGCTCTCAAATATAATGCATTTTTTTCTATCCTATATATATACTTGGGTAAAATCGGAAGGTGAGTGCTTAGGCAGAAATAAGTAACTATTAAACCAGTGGGAGCAAAGTTCAGTTGGGCAATACTCTTTATGATACTGACAAGTGAAGGCTTATTAGTTCCAAAAGTGCTGGCTTTATTTCTGTAGTCACAGAGTAGTCTAAAGGTAAGGCTTACCCAGCTCTTGGCTCCCAAGTTAATGTTATTTATTCAGTATGCCAGATTTTTCTCAAGGTGCATTAGCTACTCAGGATAATTTTACTGGTGGGAACTGAGATTTTCTAGACGCCTAAATTAACTGCCAATTCTGGTTTATCTTAGGGACATGCTCATTGAAACAGTATTCTCACTCAGCTTGAATACTAAATTTTGTTCCCTTATTGTTAAAGTGATGAATATGTTTGTACAATGAAGACAACTTTCTTTTGGCTTTTTAGGCTACAGCTTCAGCATGAGAATTATACTTTGACACAGAAAATCAGGTCTATAAGTGAAATATAATAAAGTGTTCTGGAAAGCAGGAGACTACCTTACAACCCCAAGAGAAAAATATGTGGCACTAAGGTCTGGTTCCTTCTTCCCTCGTTGTTTTGTCATTTTTTTCCAAACTTTGGGAATCAAAATCTCGGTGCAAATACTGAATTCATAAATTGAAACAGACTCTTGGGTTCTATTATGAAGGCAAATAATACTTCTATGTATTTTGTAGGGTTATACAGTATAATACCTCGAATCCATGGTTGGATCTGACTGAACCTACATAGATACTAATCTGAATAACTCATATATAGAAAATGTGCAATATTCTAAGTACAAAAAATTAAACTGGACTAGTTTGCTTTTGTTTTATAGTATAAATGAAAATAATCTCGATGGCAAACTATTCAATTATCTGAGCAGAAATTATGAATGAAAGATGTATTCCAGACCTATATGATTGAGGGACATTTCAACTTGAATTCCCCAGCGGCAAAAGTGGTGTATAAACTAATGCTAGTGTATACACTACTAAAGTGCCAAGTTACGTAACATCTCCTAATTTTAAAAATGAAAGATTTTTCTTTTTTTCACTGTGAAGGGCAGTAACACAATCTTCCCCATGGGTGCAACTGAATGATTTATTTAGTACATTGATGTACTTAATTATTAGTGTTTCTGGGAAGCTGGATTTGACATAAACTTATTTTGAAAAACACGGTTTATGAAATTTTGTACTAAAATTATTAATAGACATTAAGTTTCTATAATCAAATGTGAATATCTGTTGTCACAGTTTTAAACGTCAAAGAAAAACCTTTGAAAATTAATATAGTGATAATAGATATGTGCTGTGTTTGCTGTTAAATTTAAGACCAAGAACACCACCTAGATTGATCCCTTAAGTAATCAAATTTTGAACTGTGCAATGCAGTTTAGTGTGTCTTTGGAAAACAATGTCAGAGCTGGAGAAAATACCTAAGAATCAAAACTTAAACCATAAATAGTACAGGTATATCTCAGCACAGCTAACTGGGACATCTAGGAAAAGCACACACACATAATAAAACCCCACAATTTTGCTTCAACAGAAGAATAAAGCAAAATGGCAACATACACAGTATCACTTTGCGTAACATTTCCCCCCAAACTTTAGCAGACCCAAAATGAGCTTAAAGACCCTAGAATGATGTCTGGGAATGCTAGTCTCTCTTGCTTTAGAGAGAATAGTCCATAATGGGAAAATTGCTAATATTTCGCAAGCTATTAATTAATAGTACTTAGAGTTAATCATGAAATATTAAGATTTTTTTAACTCCTTGATGTTTCAACAGTCATAGAACTATATAAAATATAAGGAAAGTAGTATGTGAATATGCTGTATATAAATAGAATTTACACTGAGAACACTGAGAAGCACTAATACTTTCTTCATGCTGCACACATACTGGGAATACTTTTACAGTAAATATGCAACTGTTTGATGGAGGTGATTTCTCCCCACATTTATAGTTTGATTCAGGGCACTGAAAACACTTGCACATAAATTATAAGTTCAATTTACAGTGAAAACTTACTCCCCCACCATTAACAGTAATCACTAACTTACCTTTTAAAAAAAAAAACCAATTAACATAGCAATATGACTTGATACTTTTTCATCATCATGAGAAACTTGCCCCTAAATACATGTTCAAGCATTAAGAATAGTTGTAAAGTTACATCATTACGAGAGGGAACTGCAGTATGGATTTGAAAACTTCAGGTAAGGGAACTGCTAGGCCTGCCTCACTTGTCCCTTTCTCTTGTAGCCAACTCACCACCTCCTGGGATGGGAGACAGTGGATTATCCAATTTGTGTTCTCATTCCCTCCTCTAAACACCAAAGACAATTTCCCCAGGAAGTGTAAACTAAAAGATGAGTTACATAGGTGTTTACAAAACACAACTGGACATTTTCCATTATTTTGGGATAAACCAAAATAAATTTTAAAGTTTCATTTGGAGATTTCAAAGCTGAAAATGCTTTCAGCAAATTCTTAGATCTTAAGAAAGTACCTTAGATCTTAAGAAAGTATATATTGTCCATTGTTTATAAAATCATTTGCCTTTTTGATCTAAAAATTTTAATACTTGAATTTAACAGGTTTTTCTTCTGGACAAGTTCTTTGGCATTCAAGTATAATCAATACTTTCAGAGTAGTCACCTGCATCACACTGGAGTGACTGCTTTAATTTCTAAATCATCAATTAGTGTAACCCAGGGATACTGATGGCCTTGATACATAATTTAGTCTTAGTGTGTGGAAATCAGGGTTTTGGGGGGCATCATCTGACCCCATTTCTTTTTACCACAATGGTTCCTGCTACAATGTCATAAGCTGTTCGATTATGCTGAAAAAACAGCAGTGTGATGAAAGCAGGGAAAAAAGAAGCAATTGAAAAATTCTTGATCAAAGCTCGGATAGTGGACCTAAAAAGTTAAAACAAAAATATCAGGTAAGTTACACATCAAACCACATATAGATTAATGGTATCCCATCAAGTTCAAAATAGACATTTAAAACACAATTGTACTTCTCTACAGAAGTCTACAGGGAAAAAGACATTCAAGGTATAGTTGAGAGAATTTTTACCTTTGATATATTTTCAAGTAGCACTGTATCATGATCAAACCACCTGGGCTATTTCTAATAAGACTTCAACAACATAAAAAGCAGTAATAAACATGTCTCAGAATATTGAATTAATGGTTTACAGAGCTTTCTAGTATTTTCTCAGAAGAAATGAACATTAATTCTGAGTACTTTCTGAGTATGCTTACTGTAGTCCCATTTGTCTACCTTATAGAAAAAACATGCATTTTAAAGTACTGTGTGTTCTTTAATCAGCATTTTCCTTTGTGGGATCCAGTGATTAAGCAAAGCTTTTAAAAGCTTTCAACAATCACTCAGGATGGAGAATTATCCTACTTATGTTAGATTTCTGCCTTTTAGTGCACTGAAGGGCTGCAGAAAAGTACAGTGGCTAGGAGTGTGGGTTCTGAATCCAGACTAGTTAAATTCAGATCCATCGTCTACCAATTACTAGTTGTATTCCACATCTGCAAAAAGGGAACAATAGTATCTATCTTATGATACTATAGATAGTATATAGATACTACCTATAGTATATAGATACTACCTATAGTATATAGATAGAGACTACCTATAGTATCTTATGATACTATAGATATAGATCAATAGTCTCTATCTTATGAGGTTGTTAGCATTAAATTAATACATATGCAGTGTTATTAACAGTGCAGGTATATAAAAAGTACTCAATAAACATTAGCCATTACTGACTCTTATTAAAAGAAGTAGGTAGGTTTATAACTACCAGTTTTGTTTTGTTTTTTTTTTTTTTTGAGATGGAGTCTTGCTCTGTCGCCCAGGTTGGAGTGCAGTGGTGCAATCTCAGCTCACTGCAAGCTCTGCCTCCCGGGTTCATGCCATTCTCCTGCCTCAGCCTCCTGAGTAGCTGGGACTACAGGGCCCGCCACCACGCCCGGCTAATTTTTTGTATTTTTAGTAGAGACGGGGTTTCACCATGTTAGCCAGGATGGTCTCGATCTCCTGACCTCGTGATCTGCCCACCTCAGCCTCACAAAGTGCTGGGATTACAGGCGTGAGCCACTGTGCCCGGCTATAACTACCAAATTTTAAGAAAAATTTGAAGATGGCAAAACCAAGGTTTCTAGAATCACTTGTTTATATTTCTTGATGTAACAATCCAGCTCTGAATCATTCTGGCAAAAATTGCAGCCAATACCTTGTTTGGCTCAACTGACTACCAGCCACTGACCTCCACAGTTTCCATTATCACTGGTTGTACCTTCCCCCAGCGCTAGATGCCAACAGCTAACCTTGAATACTGGCAGTATTACAAGCTCTCACCTAACAGCAGGAGAAGGATGCACGAATGCATAGCTGTCAAAACTCTGCTGCCTATTCAAGATGGAATAATGACAGGCATGGCCAAATGGAGACTCAAGGCAGACTAGTACCTGACCTAACATCCACAGGTCCAAAGAATAATAAAGCTGATTGTGGAGCACTAATACACCATCAACACCCAAATCATCCTCTCGTATTGTGACTTATAATTCATAAAATGATCATCTTGAGGCAGGGCATGGTGGCTCACGTCTGTAATCCCAACACTTTGAGAGGCGGAGGCGGGTGGATCATGAGGTCAGGAGATCAAGACCATCCTGGTTAACACGGTGAAACCCCGTCCCTACTAAAAATACAAAAAATTAGCCGGGCGTGGTGGCGGGCACCTGTAGTCCCACCTACTCGGGAGGCTGAGGCAGGAGAATGGCGTGAACCTGGGAGGCGGAGCCTGCAGTGAGCCGAGACTGTGCCACTGCACTCCAGCCTGGGCAACAGAGTGAGACTCCGTCTCACAAAAAAAAAAAAAAAAAAATCATCTTGAAAATGTGTACTGTAAAAGAGGTCTACAATCATGTAACACAACTGAAATAAATATTCAAACTTTGTTTTAACTTAATAAATATAAGCCTATCTACTATGAAGAAAAAAACCCCAATATTCTAAAACACATTATTTTCATTAAGTATGTAGTAGATTAAGCTAAGAAAAGGACTTACGTTGTAATGCTAACATTTGAGGAAGGAATCACTAAAACCCGACTTGGTGCAATAAGCACTGATGTATCACATGTCACAACTCGAAGCCCCAGCAGGAACTTCCCTGGGGTAGCTCCACCTGCTCCCCAAATGCAAATTATCTAAGGAAAGAAGGATGATTTAAAAATTACTGGCTCAACTATACCAATTTTAAAGATAAACTTTTCCCACCATATTATTTCATGTTTTAAATTTTTCAAGTTGAAAGAATTGCATAGAATACTCAAAAGTTAACCATTTAACTTTATGCATTTCTGTAGGTCTCTAACATGTCCAATACCACAAGATGTCTGTCTCCTGTAATATTTCTCTATGACTACTATACTTTCTAGTAAGCTGCTTCTGCAGAAAACTACATTGCAATTTACAAGTATATTTTTGGACCACAATCTATAAGTGAAATTTTATTTGAGTTTCTAAGACTGAAAAATATTACAAAGAAATTGTAAAATGTCTCTCTTCCAAAAGTTTTTACTTAATGATTAGTTAAAATTTGGGAAAAAAAACAGAAAAGTAGACATGTGGAAAAGACATGAATAATTATAAATTTCGATTACTTTTTCGTCTTGGGCTGATAATCTAAAATTAGATTGTTGGCTAGGTGCAGTGGCTCATGCCTGTAATCCCAGCACTTTGGGAGGCCAAGGTGGGCAGATCACTGAGGCCAGGAGTTTGAGACCAGCCTGGCCTACATGGCAAAACCCTGTCTCTACTAAAAATACAAAAATTAGCCAGGTGTGGTGGTATGCACCTGTAGTCCCACCTACTCAGGAGGCTGAGACAGGAGAATCACTTGAACTCAGGAGGCAGAGGTTGCAGTGAGCCAAGATCACACCACTGCACTCCAGCCTGGGTGACAGAGCGAGACTCTGTCTCAAAAAAATAAATGTAAAAACATAAAATTAGATTGTTAAATATTAATTCTTGCTGAAGTCAGTAGCTTACCTCATAGAAACAAACTAATAATCTGTATATAAGTGCCACAACCATCATTTTCTGCAAGTCTTCCATTGATGTGTCTTCATCTATTTCTTCTATTATATAATGCATAGCAAACTTAGAGATATCCCTACACAAAATAATAGTTTGGGGTTATAAATAATTAGTTACCAGAACAGTAGCACTGACTTTTTTTTCATTAGTGCAAGTCATACATTTTAATTGAAATTCTAAACTAATCTTTAGATTCCCAACCATCTAGTATCATAAAGCATTCATTAGTTTATTCAACAAATAAGCAGCATTATCATGAGCAGACACTGTACTAGCACGGGGGAAATAAGGGTGAATGAATTTACACGGTCCCTGCTTTCGTGGAGGGTCTAACCTAGCAAAGAAAACAGAACAATAAATAAATAGCAATAATAAAGTGGGATGAGTGCTGTGATGGGGAACCTAGGATACTATGGAAACATACACCAGATACACTTAACCTTGTGAAGGTTTCCCAGAAAAGACAGTTAGATGAGGCTCTGAAGGATGAAGAGAAGTTAGCCAGACTAAGAAGAGGAAATAACGTTCCAGAAAGAGGGAACAGCAGGAGAGAATGTCTTGGAGAAAGAGAGAATATGATAGAAGCTGTAAGCAGTTTGGTGTGGCTCATATACTAAATGTGAGAGGTGGCAGTGATTAAGAAATAAAGGCAGGGTGTGGTGGTATGCACCTGCAGTCCCACCTACTTGGGAGGTTGAGACAGCCTCCTGAGTATAAACCACATGATGAAATTCAGACTTTATCCTGCTGGTAAAGAGAAACCATTGAAGGGGCTGAGCATGGTGGCTCACGCATGTAATCCCAGCACTTTGGGAGGCTGAGGTGGGAGGATCGCCTGAGCCTAGGATTTTGAAAGCAACCTGGGCAACACAGACCCCATCTCTAAAAAAACAATAAACATTTTAAAAAGAGAAACCATTGAAGGGTTTTAAGGTAGGAAAGGAACAGAACCAGGATTTATGATCACTTTGGTTTTATATCAGAGACTGGATTGAGATAAAACAGGAGACTGAGTTACCACTAGAAGGCTTCTGCTATAATCCAAGCAAGAGACGACAGTAATCGGAGTAGGGAGAAGCAATGATGATAAAAAATGGGCCAGGTGTGGTGGCTCATGCTTGTAATCTCAGCACTTTGGGAAGCTAAGGCAGGAGGATCATTTGAGCCCAGGAGTTTGAGACCAGCCTGGGCAACATAGGGAGACCCCATCTCTACAAAAAACAATTTTTTTTTTTAATTAGCTAGGCATGGTGGAGCATGCCTGTGGTCCCAGCTCCTTGTGAGGCTGAGGTGGGAGTGTCACTTGGGCACAGGAGATCAAGGCTGCAGTGAGCCATAATTGTACTACTGCACTCCAGCCTGGGTGACAGAGCAAGACTCTGTCTCAAAAAAAGAAAAATGATCTGGCAGTGAGGAGGTCTGGGGTTGAAAGCTATTCAGAAAATTGAACATAAAGGAGTTGGTATTTCACTGGATGTGGAGTGGAGTGAGAGGGAGGGACAGGGAGGAATCACAGTAACAGGTTTCTGGCAAGGACCCTGAAATTTGACTGCACAGGCTTGTATCTTGACTCTGTCACTTACTACCTTTGTAACATTTTAGGTTCTGTGCTCAACTTTTCATAAACCCAAATTTCAAACTCTATAAAATGGTGGTATTAATCTCTACACCTCATCTTGGTATTAAGATTAAATAAGAATCCACATAAAGAAGTGAGCAAGCTCAATACATGGCATATAGAAAGTACTCAGGAAGTGGTAACTGCTATTATGATTATTGTTAATCTGGAAGGATTACTCAAATAAACGTCTCACTTTGAAGTTCACTTGGGACTTGCCCCACAGTATGTGCAATCCCATTTGGAAATGCCATCTAGTTGATTATTAATTCACCTACCAAAAGCTCTTTATACCTTTGTCTTTAGAGACTCCACAAGATAGCAAGAGGGAACAGGATAGTGAGAGGTAAATTAGTTCCTGGCCTAAAAGAATAGGTGAATAAAATCAAAGCAGGTTTGGAGGCTCTTTTTACCTATTTTTGATAGGTGAGATTCCCACACATCTTATAGAATTCAGTAAGCTATTTTTTTTCCTTTCTAGTTATTTCTTAAAATCAACAAGAAAACAATAAATCTAACAAAGCTCTTATAAAGAAATCATGACACTGACAAGCCCATTATCCATATAGTCACGTGTAGACAAACAGAATGTAATAAAACAAGATCATTAAACAGTAGAAATTAAAACCCTTCTGCAAATGTCCTCAACTTACTTTATCCCACTGAGGTGCATAATGCTTAAGACAATGGTTGCTTTTATAAAGAAGAGAATAAAGAAATCCACCATCTCTGCCATAAATCTGTGGGCCAAGGATGGAATAACATATTCTCTGCCTGTAAATTAAAAAAAAAAAAAAGTTAGGAAAAACGAATCATTTCACATAAGCCTTGGAACACAAGCCATGTAATGAATTGCTAAAGAAAGTCAAGGTACAACTTAATAAAAAATATTTATAACCGTGCAGCAACTATTGATATTGATTCCACCAAGAATCCATGTTACTAAAATAGAGTAACAGAGAATCCACTATTTACTGAGCTTAAAGTTTGCTTTCATCACCTTAACGTTTAAAAATTGATTTCACACGGCCAGGTGCAGTGACTCACGTCTGTAATCCCAGCACTTTAGGAGGCCGAGGCGGGCAGATTGCTTGAGGCCAGGAGTTCGAGACCAGTCTGGCCCTGGCCAACATGGCGAAACCCCGTCTCAACAAAAAATACAAAAATTAGCCGGGCGTGGTGGCGCATGCCTTTAGTCCCAGCTACTAGGGAAGCTGAGGTGGCAGGACGGCTTGAACCTGGGAGGCGGAGGCTGCAGGGAGCCAAGATCGCCACTGCACTATCCAGGCTGGGCGATAGAAGCAGACCTTGTCCCCACCCTCCCCACTTTCCCCCTAGAAAACTGATTTCACAGATAAATTTGATTAGGGTACCCACTACATTTCACTAGGAATTCTAATGAGGAGAATCCAGGTGATCACATCTAAGTCACACAAAATTAAACATTTTTTAGTACAAATCAAGGTTAAATATTGGCAATTAGTATAAAGTAAATCCCTGTAATCCCCCCCCACCCGTTTTTTAGTTTGTTTTGCTTTCTTTAAAATAAACCCAGTGAGTATCAATCTGTCATCCTAAATTCTGACTGGGATCAGAGGCATCAACTAGTTCTTGTCCCATCTATCTGTGGCTAACTAAAATAAACTAAAAGTCTAATAGTTTAAATAGTAAACTAAGAAGTGTAACTAATTCAAAATATTCTAGTTCACACACAGAAGCAAAAACAATTACACAATATACAAGATATTGATCAAATGAAGTGAAGCTTTGACCCAATCAAAACTTCCTAACTCCACTTGTATCCATGTCGATCTCCTTTTATATCCGTTCAGTTCCACTGTCCTAAGTAGCCAATGTCTGAATAATTTTCAGCATTACCAGTCGAGCCCCTCCAAAAGTGGGTTTGCCATTTGCGAATTTAGCTTTGGCCCTCACTGCAGAGCGTGAAAACCAAAGGAAGAGGATGGTTTGAAGAGCAATTTCTTTTCACGAATAAACAACTAGTCCCATGAGTAAGGGAGTCAATTTGGAGTGCCAGGTCTAAAGGAAGAAGAAACTGTATTGCCTCCTTGTACATTTTGGGAATTTAGGGCCTGGACAAACGATAGCTAGTGAACTGAACGGGCAGGATAGTCAATCAGAGTAGAAGCAGCAGTTACAGGTCTAAAAAGCGTGCCAGCTCTACCCCACAGGCCCCCGAAAACCCTTCTACTCCGCCCAGCCTCCACCTCGCGCTTCTCACCTGCCTGTCGCCCGGTCTCGCTCGGGCTTCGCGAAGGGGCTGCGGATCCTACCCTCGTCACTGGAGTGGCCCGGACCGACGCCTGCACGTGAGGAGCCCGGGGTCCCAGGCCCGCGACTGGAGCAGGGGTGCTGATGCCGGCAGCTGTCCGCGGGTCAGGCCCCGCGGCCCCGGGGCTCAGGAAGTAGAAGGGGTTGTAATAGCCCAGCTGCGGGGGCGGCGGCGCCGCGGCCTGGGGGACTGCAGCGCCGCCCGAAGGGAAGCTCTGCGGGGAGGGCTGGGGGCTGCAGTAGGCTGGGAAGGCGGCCAGGCCGCTGTGCCAGGTGAGGTAGCCGCAGTAGGACTGCCACAGCCACTCGTGCACTTGCCGGGAGTACTCGCGGGCGCTCAGCCGAGCTGGTCTCTCTCGTGGCGCCGCGGCTTCGGGCGCCTCGCAGCCCGCCTGCTCCTGCAGCTCTGCACCGGAGCCGGAGGCCGCCTCCCCGCGCTTCCTGAGCTCGCGCGGCGGCTCCAATTTGTCGGCTGCGGCGGCAGCCGCGAGGCCCGGGGCTGTGGGCCGGCCCGGGGCCTGGGGTTCGGCCTGGGGGTCGTCGCGGGGGCATGGGACGGCGGTGGTAGGAGGGCCTCTCAGGGAAGGGACGGGCTCGTGGTCCCCTCCGCCATCGTCCTGCCCGGGAGGGTGGCCTCGGGCTTCCTCGGGCCCCTCGGCCATCGTCGCCTCAGCAGCACCCTCTGGGATACCTGTCACTGCTCCGTTTCCCTCCCCCAATGGCCCCTCCCCAACAGCCCCGTCACCACCGCAGCAACCGCAGGCGTCAACAATCCCCCGCCGGAAGCGGAAGCCCCGCCCCTCAGGAGCAACGCCCGCCGCCAGGCGGAGCTGGGAAGGGAGGGCGGGGAGGTGCGTCTGCAGTCCCGGGTTCGGGCCCTAGTAGTCGGTGGCTGGTCGGTGACTGGGACCAGACCGTCGCCTCCTCCCTTTTACAGCTTTAAGTCTGTGACCCGAGGCCTCTCTGTATATTCCCGTGGGGTTGGGCCTAGTTGTCCTGGGAGAAACTAGATGGATGAGGAGTATTTCCGAGACAGGTCCCAGGGCCAGCGCAGCCTTTTCTGTTGCAGAACCGCGACTGTTGTTTTGGGATCCAGGCCGGAGGGTTTGTTGCTTGTGTTCATTCCAGTTAACCATTAGTACTCGAGAAGGTGGTACAGAACGCATCTATCCCCTTAGAAGAAAAGAAATTAAAAGCCAAACTAAACTGGGATATATATTAATATAGGAAACTACCACTGAGACATAGGAAAGTGTATTAAAATATAACTAGTGAGGTGCTATGTATAATTCAGAGGAAGGGGAAATTATGCATGGGCCAGACTACTAACAAAAGGCTCCAAAGCCTGGGATACGCTGAGGGCCTTTCCATAACAGAAAATGAAAAGGAACCTAAATTTGAGACTAGATTTGAGGAAAGGCACAGTTGCGCTGGAGTAGAAAGCGTCTGTCTACCGCAGTGGAAAGTAAGTTTTCGTAAATGCAGACTAGCTCCAGGGTGAGGACAGAATCTAGCTTTTAAATCAGTATAATCTCTCTTCTTTTACATTTGAAAATCTCTGCAGCGATATGTTATTGTATCCCCAGCACCATACAAAGGACATACAAGGGCCAAATACTGTGGGAATATTTATTAATGATATTAATGATGATGCTGTCCGGGCCAAAGGAAAACTTCCGCTTCACCTTCTGAAGTTTCGCTGAAAGTCACTGACAGGAGGCAGTTAATAGGAGAAAAGACATAGACATTGATTTGACCATCGTTTTATGTGACACGGGAGCCTTCAGAATGAAGACCCAAAGATAACAAGGGAAATCGTGTATTTGTATGCTTAGGTTCAACAAAGCATGGACAGCCGTATAAAAAAATGACTGGACAAGGCCGGGCGCGGTGGCTCACGCCTGTAATCTCAGCACTTTGGGAGGCTGAGGCGGGCGGATCACAAGGTCAGGAGATCGAGACCATCCTGGCTAACACAGTGAAACCCCGTCTCTACTAAAAATACTAAAAATTAGCCAGGCGTGGTGGCGGGCGCCTGTAGTCCCAGCTACTCAGGAGGCTGAGGCAGGAGAATGGCGTGAACCCGGGAGGCGGAGCTTGCAGTGAGCCGAGATTGCGTCACCGCACTCCAGCCTGGGCGACAGAGCGAGACTCCGTCTCAAAAAAAATGACTGGACAAAAAACACTCTGATGCAAACAGGCAAGAAACCCAGCAAGGCCTATCTGGATTCTCCTTGGCCTGTCTGCAGCATTCATTCCTTCTGGGTATGGAACAGGACCCTCTGGAATGGGGGCTGTGGCCTACAACAGTTAAACAAGGTAGGTCAGATAATTTTTCTTTTCCTTCTTTTTTTTTTTTTGACAGAGTTTTGCTCTTGTCGCCCAGGCTGGAGTGCGATGGTGCGATCTCGGCTCACTGCAACCTCCCCCTCCCAGGTTCAAGTGATTCTCCTGTCTTAGCCTCCCGAAGTAGCTGGGATTACAAGCGCCCGCCATCACGCCCAGCTAATTTTTTTTGTATTTTTAGTTGAGACGGGGTTTCACCATGTTGGCCAGGCTGGTCTTGAACTCCTGACCTCAGGTGATCCACCCGCCTCGGCCTCCCAAAGTGCTGGGATTACAGGCGTGAGCCACTGCGCTCTGCCAGATAATTTCTCTATGTCCAATATTTGCACAGAAAGGGGTGCAGGGAGGTTAGAGTAATATTTTTAGGTTTGTGGCTGGCTTTGGGAAAGGGTGGGGTTTTGGTTTCTATGCCCTGCTTTGGGAAAGACGGATTCCAGTTTCTATGACTAGCCTTGTGGGTGGGGGTGGGGGGAAGAATGGGATTGAGACAGGAGGGTTGGAGAAGGTGGGAAAAATCTTTTGCTTCTGAGGTCTTCATTTTGGGGTATGGTTTTCTGAGTTCCAACAATGCCCAGGGTCATTCTTTTTTTTTTTCTTTCTTTGTTTTTTTAAAGACAGGGTCTCACTCTGTCACCTAGGCTGGAGTGCAGCAGTGTAGGCACTCCTCACTGTAGCTTTGACCTCCCAGGTTCAAACTATCCTCCCACCTCAGCCCGAGTGACTGGGACTACAGGCACGTGCCACTGCCCCCGGCTCATTTTTTTCATTTTTTGTAGAGATGGGGGTCTCACTGTGTTGCCCAGGCTGGTCCCAAACTCCTGAGCTCAAGCAGTCCACCCGCCTTGTCCTCCCAAAGTACTGAGATTACAGGTGTGAGCCACCACGCCCAGCCCCAGAGTCATTGTTGGCTTTATTCTGGGAGATATAAAAAGCCATAATTTTTTTCCTTAAAAAGCTAATGATCTAGGTTCAAGGGACAGACTGTCAAGAAAACTGAAAACTTATTCAAGAATTCAAAATAAGGGAAAGATTATGGTAGCCTATAGCTAGAAAAGTTTACCCTTACAGATTTCATTTTAAAATCAACTATGAGAAAATTTTAATGTTTAAACAAGCATTCCAAGTTGGGGTGAGGGAAGAAAGAGAAACAGAAACAAAGAAATAAATGTGGCTTGGAATGAGTGAAATATGATTATTGGAGACATGGACTTTGTTTTGAATACCACTGTTTCTGTAACACCTGGCACAGTGTCACTGTAAAGATATAAAATGATATGAAACATGAAACAGCAAAACAAGCCAGAAGAAAAACTCAGGAATGAAGTAACAGAACTTGGGAAAGAGTTAGAAATAAAAGAAAAACTGATTTCAGAAAAGAGGACTAAAATACAAGGAATAAAAGAATAAGAAAATACAATAGTGTCTGAAAAGAACTACAATTTGAAAATGAGTTTTTTAATCAAAAATAAATGTAAACAGAAATAATTTGAGAGAAATGATAAATATTGAAAATAGGCAAAGAAGATCCAACATATAGATTAGAAGTTCTTGATAAAGAAAACCCAAGACAGGTAACAGAACTAATTATAACACATTATAATTCAAAAAAATTTTTTTCTGAAATACATATATATATGTGTCCTAACATTACACACACACACACACACACACACACACACACACACACTCTCAGAGTCATGAATCACTTAACAACAGGGATATGTTCTAAGAAATGCATCATTAGGCGACTTTGTCCTTATGGGAACACCATAGACTGTACTACTTACACATACCTATATGGTACAGCCTACTATATACCTAGGCTATATGGTATAGCCTATTGCTCCCAGGCTACAAACCTGTACAGCATATTAATGTACTGATTACTGCAGGCAGTTGTAACACAGTGGTATTTGTACATCTAAATATATCAAAACATAGAGAATACAGTAAAAATACAGTATAAAGGGTTAAAAATGATACACCTGTGTAGGGCACTTACCATAAATGGGGCCTGCAGGACTGGAAGTTGCCGTGGGTGAGTCAGTGGTGAGTGAATGTGAAGGCCTTGGACATCACTGCACACTACTGAAGACTTGATACAAAACTGTACACTTAGGCTACACTAAATTTATTTAAAATTTTTTTTCTTCCATAATAAATTACCTTTAGTTTATTGCAACATTTTACCTTATAAAGTTTTTGATTTTTTAAAAACTTTTCAACTCTTTTGTAATAACACTTGGCTTAAAACGCAAACACATTGTACAACTGTACAAAAATATTCTTTGTATCCTTATTCTATAAGCTTTTTATTTTTAAAGTTTTTGATAATTATTATTTTTTTTTACTTTTTAAGCTTTTTTTGTTACAAATGAAGACACAAACACACATTAGCCTAGGACTACACAGGGTCAGGATCATCAAAATGTCACTAAGTGATTGCGACACTGTACTCCAGCCTAGGTGACAGAGCAAGACCCTGTCTCAAAATAAAATGAAATAAAGATGTCATTAGGCAATAGGAATTTTTCAGCTCTGTTATAATCTTGTGGGATCACAGTGGTATATGACATTCATTGTTGACCAAAATGTCGTTATGCAGCACATGACTATATACATATATCTATATGTATATAGATATATAGATATATAGTATGAAATGCCAAGTCCCACTAAAAGAAACAAGGGGTTCTAGGTTTAGGGCAGGAAATGTATGGAATGAGCACGAAATATCTTATTATACTAGAGAGCAGAGAAATGATTAAAGACTTCTGGAGTCATGTCCAAAGGACCCAGCCAACTAGAAGAGGCTCCTATTGGCCATGGATAGGACAATTTGAGTTTCAATAAAGGTAATAATTAGAATGGACTGAAACCCATCGTATATGTTTAAATATATAAATTCATAGTAACGTGTAGTTTTACCAAAGGGATTAAACCTGAGTGTGCTCAAGCTTCTTGATCCAACTGCCAGTTTACAGAAATAGAGGACAAAGGAGCATATTGAAATATGCCATGAGTGTGCAATCTGCAAAATCCAGACCATGGGGAACCCTGCAAAGTAAACAACTGGGTTATTCAATATATATATTATAAGTGGGGGGGGGGGAAGAAATAGAACCTATAGCTTAAAGGAGGCATAAAAGACATTAAATTAATGAGCAAGACTATAATGTCTAGGGATATACTTAAATGCAAAAAGAAGTGGTTATTTAAAAAGTCAGGGTAGTGATGGGGGTGAAAGGAGTTTGTGATTGGGATGGAGCACATGGACAGGCTTCTGGTGTGGCTGACAAAGTTCGATTTTCTTGGTTTAGGAAGTGATTACAAGGATGTCCACCTTATAATAAACCATAAAGCTGTTGAAGAAACTGACAAAAATGAGGAGTTTTCTACTCATATACCCTCACTCTAAACTCCAAAAGATAGATATAGATATATATAGATATATATAGATATATACTTCATAAGAAGGAAATGCAACTGAGAAGCATGGAGTGAGATGCAAAAATAAATGACTTTATGAAAATTAGACCCTGCAAGACTAATTCCTGAGTTAAACAAGTTTGAGAAAAATAGTCTGTAAAAGCACGACGAATTGACCGCATGTACTTATCTCCCTTCCAAAACACTCATTGAAATAAAACAAAGGAATAAAGTTACAAACCTACAAGGTAGATGTATTTTTGCAAGGTAGAAGGTCCTTGAGTGAAGGAGAGGTTCAAAACTTGGAGGTATATGGTACTTTGGAAATTGGAAGTAAAGCACAGTGCTTAAACGAAGCAGATTAAACAAAAGTCTGTATGCTGAATAGTGGCTCCTCATCCTCCAATTTTTCTCCAGCCCTGCTCTTGGAATAACTCCTAAGCAGATACTGGAGTATTCTTTCAAGAGACTCAATGGTCCCAGAAAATAACCTTTTTTTATGGTGCTATTTGGAGTCCAGAAATAAAAAGTTTGTTTTGCCAGTTTATCACTCTACCCTGGAACTTACCAGCAACTGGCAGATAAAAAAATAACAGAGTAGGCTGGGCACAGTGGCTCATGCCTGTAATCCCAGCACTTTGGGAGGCCGAGGTGGGCAGATCACAGGGTCAGGAGTTTGCGAGCAGCCTGGCCAATATGGTGAAACTCGGACTCTACTAAAAATACAACAATTAGCTGGGTGTGGTGGCATGTGCGTGTAGTCCCAGCTACTCAGGAGGCTGAGGCAGGAGAATCGCCTGAACCCAGGAGGCAGAGGTTGCAGTGAGCTGAGATCACACCACTGCACTCCAGCCTGGGTGACAGAGCGAGACTCCATCTCAAAACAAACAAAAACAGAGTATCAGTAAGAAAAGAAGTCTTAACAACAAAAATAAAATCTATAAATTATGATATGTTTGATCTTTTGAGAATAATATTGAGCATTTCACAAATTTTAAAAAATAGTTGGATAGATATGCAGAGATTTAAAAATATTTAAATATTTAAAAAAAGAAAAGCAATCACTAACACCAGGAAAAGCAAAAACAAAACCAAAAAACCCCAAAACAACAACCCAAATAAGGAAAGAAAACAGTCATAAATTCCTTGGCTCATCATTGAATAATATTTACAGTCAAAGCAACAGCAATACTACTATTTTTTTTTTTTTTTGAGATGGAGTCTTGCACGGTCACCAGACACGTAAAAGTAAGGCTGGCATCAGGTATGGCTGAATAGAGAGGGTTCAAATAGTGTCATCAGGATCTGGTTTCTGTCTTAGCAATGCAGACTCTCCTGTTAGGATCAAAAGATGGCTTCAGCCTTTACATTCTTTTTATTTGTTTGTTTATTTATTTATTTTTTTGAGATGAAGTCTCGCTCTGTCACCCAGGCTGCAGTGCAGTGGTGCAATCTTGGCTCACTGCAACCTCGGCCTCCCGGGTTCAAGCAATTCTCCTGCCTCAG
This sequence comes from Homo sapiens, assembly GCF_000001405.40. Classification (NCBI taxonomy): domain Eukaryota; kingdom Metazoa; phylum Chordata; class Mammalia; order Primates; family Hominidae; genus Homo; species Homo sapiens. Next base: position 17,593,790 of record NC_000006.12, on the reverse strand, counting down.
CCTCCCGAGTAGCTGGGATTACAGGCGCCTGCCACCCTGCCCATCAGCCTTTACATTCTCTTTATATTTTTAGTCTTGAGAAGAAATGAGCTTTCCTTCTGGGTGAAAAGCTGTGGGCTAATAAATGAAGCCCAAGTCCATTAAGGGACAGGAGAGCCAAGGAAAGAAAACAGGACCAAGTGAGAAGAGAGAAGAGAACAGAAGAGAAGAGAAGGAGGAAGGGGGAGGGGGAGTAAGAAAGAAAGAGGGAGGGAGGGAAGGAAGGGAGAGAGAAAGAAAGAGGGAGAAGGGAGGGAGGGAGGGAAAAAAGAGAAGAAAGAAAAGGAAAGAAAAAGAAAAGGAAGAAAAGAAAGAAAAAGGAAGAAAAGAAAGAAAGAAAAGAAAAAAAGACAAACATCTAAAATGTAGCAGAAAAGTTAAGCAAAATGGAGGTGGAGAAAAGCCCACAGAACTGAAGAGGAACTTACTGACTTGGGGAGAACAGGTCTATGAAGTGGTGGAAGCCAAGTTGATCTATTGCAGTGATTTTCAACCTACATCTGGAAACTTTTTAGAAGTGCAGATTCTTAGGTCCCACATCTCACCTTCTGAATCAGAAACTTTGGACCTGGGGCTCACCACTCTGTGTTTTAACAAGACCTCCATGTGATTCTGATGAACACTAAAGTTGGAGAACCATTGATCTAGGCCAGTGGGCTTTCTTCGTTGGCAGTGTAAATTGGTAGAATCTCTATGTAGGGCAATTTAATAGTATCAGTCATAATTAGAAATGTGGGCCAGGTGTGGTGGCTCACACCTGTAATCCTAGCACTTTGGGAAGCCGAGGCAGGAGGATTACTTGAGTCAAAGAGTTCAAGACCAGCCTGGGTAACACAGTGAAACCCTGTCTCTATAAAAAATTTAAAAACTAGCCAAGCGTGGTGGTGGATGCCTGTAGTCCCAGCTACTCTAGAGGCTGCAGTGGGAGGATCTCTTGAACCTGAGACGCTGAGGCTCCACTGAGCTGTGACCACACCACTGCAGCATTATTTGATTGTGAACTTAATATAACTAGCAAGCTGGTAAAACCTGTAGTGGCATATCTATACCGCAGACTGCTGCATACCACCTACAACCCCACCGGTCTCCCTGCCTCCCATCTTCTTCAGTCTTGACCTGCTCCAATTCATTTCCTGCACTGTTACAGCGAGATCCTCTACATTCAGATAATCAGTTAAGAGATTTTTCCTGAGTCCTGCCCTTTGCTTCTCCAAGTGGTTGATACTGGAAAAGATGACCCTCTTCCAAGCGGATCAGGTCTTTGTGCAGAAGCATGCATTTACTAGTCTCAGTAACAGAGCTACATTAGAAAACTTCTGTAATTGTTATTCAATGTTTGGGATTTCAGATCCAAGCTAGAACATTTTACTGCAAACACATTGGATACTTTTAGCTAATATAGGAAGCAAAATTGCAGAAAGTTGGCTTGGTCTTTATTGAATCCTTACTTGCTCTGGCCTCTGAGGTTTGAGAGCAGAGTGAGAGGGGGACAGGGACCATTTGGGTGTGTAGTTGAACAGCTTTTGTTTTTTACTGCCCAACATCCTTTCCACCTTCCAGGAACAGCATCTTGCTTATGCTTAGGAAAACTACCCCTCTCTCATTCTTTTGATTCTTGCACAGATGGAACCGTCAAACCCGATTCCACCTGCCTGCTCCCTCCTCCTTGGATATAGGCCAATCAGATTTTTGTCTCTATAGAATCTGAATCTCGAATGATGACTGCAAGTGGTTGAAGATCCATCATTACTCTTTCTTCAGAGTATCCCTGGTTCCTGATCATTTCAAGGCCCAATTTTTTACCTTTCCCTTTGATTATGTGAGTGAACCAATATCTTATGGTATTTTTTTCCTTATTATCCAGAGTCAGATTCTTTGGATTGTAACCAAAGAATTGTAACTATAACAGGATCATAATCACAAGAGGGTGTACCAGCTGAACCATATGAAATAGACTTCTCTCTTCCTATTTAGCATCTCTTTGGAGAACAGTGCCACCCCGCATTCTTAATCTATGTGGTTCAGATGAAACTGACTCCACCCTTATGGTCCTGGAAGTAGGCACAAGAGAGAATTGCATCCCCCTAGCCACAGGTTCAGGGATAAGAATATGATGTGATTGGGCTACATAGAGACATCTCTGGGATTCTGTAGCAACTGAAAAGAGATACTTTCTGTTCACTGGACTGCTAGGTACATGTAAGGATGGGATGGGCCTATAGCTGCTGGTGGCTATTTTTGCTGCCACATGAATTAACCTTACGGGAAACTGAAACCAACACACAGAAAAGTGGAACCAAGAGATGGAGAAACAAAGGAAGTTCCCTTATGACATATTTCTGTCCTGGATCCAACTATGCCTGAAACCATATTGAATTTTAATCTTGAAATATAGAGTTGCTTAAGCTTTTTCCTTTGTTTCTGTTACAGTCAAAAGAATCCAAACAGAGTAGGATTCTAAAATTCTTTACATTATTTCCCTTTCCTTGTCAGTGAACTAAAGGGCTCCCAAAATCTCTCCTGCAGCATTTTCCTTGAGAAGGAGGAAGGTTTGCATCTCTGTAAGTATAGGTTGAGTATCCTTTATCTAAAATGCTTGGGACTAGAAGTGTTACGGATTTCAATTTTTTTTTTTTTTTTTTGGATCCTGGAATATTTGCATATATGTAACGAGATATCTTGGGGATGGAACTCAAGTCTAAACATGAAATTCATTTATTTTTATTTATATATATATTTTTTGAGATGGAGTCTCGCTCTTGTCATCCAGGCTGGAGTGCAATGGCACCATCTTGGCTCTCTGCAACCTCCACCTCCTGGGTTCAAGCGATTCTCCTGCCTCAGCCTCCCGAGTAGCTGGGACTGCAGGCATGCGCCATCACACCCAGCTAATTTTTGTATTTTTATTAGAGACGGGGTTTCACCATGTTGGCCAGGCTAATCTCGAACTCCTGACCTCAGGTGACCCGCCCACCTCAGCCTCCCAACGTTCTGGGATTACAGCCGTGAGCCACCATGCCCGACTCATTTATGTTTTATATAACCTTATTAACATAGCCTGAAGACAATTTTATGTAATATTTTGCATAATGTTGTGCCTGAAAGAAAGCTTGAGTACATTGATCCATCAGAAAGCATAAGTGTCACTATGTTAGCCACCCATGTGGACAGTCTGTAGTTGTTTGGCATCACCATCATTCCTGACTGAATTTATGTGCTACTGATGAGCAATCATTTTTTTATACTTAATTCAAACATAAGTGTGTAATAGTAAAAAATATGACATGCTGTTAATGAAAAAACGGGAAAAATTTTAGTGAAAAAAATAATGAGTAAAGGTTAAGTAAGCAGCACAGTAGCACCATCAGAATACCTGAATAGCTGGAAACAACAACAAACGATGGTAGGCTTTTAGTATCCACTACAATGCTGTTTTGATTAAAAGGTTATTGCATGGCTAGGCGTGGTGGCTCATGCCTGTAATCCCAGCACTTTGGGAGGCCGAGGTGGGTGGATCACCTGAGGTCAGGAGTTTGAGACCAGCTTGAGCAACATAGCGAGGCCCTGTCTCTACAAAATATTTAAAAAATTAGCCGGGCATGGTGGCCACACATGTAGTCTCAGCTACTCTGGAGGCTAAGGTGGGAGGATCTCTTGGGCCCAGGAGTTCGAGGCTGTAGTGAGCCGTGATAGTGCTGCTGCATTCCAGCCTGGGTGACAGAGCAAAAACTTGTCTCAAAAAAAAAAAAGGCTACTGCACACTGTACCCTGTATTTTTGTATTTTTTTTTTTTTAGGTGAGAAGAAACATCAGAAGCAGTTGAAAGACCAGGATGTGGGTCCTCTGGGGCTGAGGAGGCATTCTGAATCAACTGTGTGTTCTACACCTGTGTTTTAACTGTGACCTGTCACATGAGGACAAGTGTGGAATTTCCCACTTTTGTGCCATGTCAGTGCTAAAAAAGTTTTGGATTTTGGAGCATTTTTAATTTCAGATTTTTCAGACTAGGAATGCTCAACCTGTATTTCCTCTCAACAAACTTCCTTGGAGCTGAGTCATAAAATATTCAAGTGCTACCATCTGGCGTCGCTCTTGAAGGCATTCCTCATCATTGATTACAAGGCTGTGCCTGTGTCATAGACCAGTGATGCTCATGCTTTTCCCTTGGAGGAGGAGCTATTTGCCACCTGGGCATTCTGCTCAGCCACACCGTAGGAGTCTGCTCTCATTCCCCTGTAGTCTGTCTGCAGTCATTTCAGGAATGCTCTGCACCAGTGGTTCTTGATTCTGACTGCACACTAGAATCTTGGAGGAGTCTCTAAAAAACACCCATGTCTAGGCCCACCCCTAAAGATTCTGATTTAACTGGCTTTTTTTAGGACCCCACCATCCATATTTTCTAAATACCCTCCAGGCAATTCTACTGTGCAAGCAGAGTGGAGAGTCACTGGCATACACTGTGGCTCGAGATAGCCCCAGCTGGTTCTAAACAGAGTGACTCTGTTTTCCCTGAGTTTCCTCGGCTGAGTGTGTAGACTTTCTCTACCCACTCTAGTCACAAATTCACTTCTGTACTCATTTACTAAGCATTTTAAGTGCTGGATACTATGACAGGTATTGGGAATGCAAAGATGAGTGAAACACCATTTTGGTTGTTGAGAGTATGACAGACTAGATGGGAGAGACTGCCAGGTAAACAGGTACGGGGGTCAAGTGTGAACCCAAAGGAGGGAGTGGTCAGTTCTACCTTTGAGAGACAGAGGTGACAACTGGGAAAGGCTTTAGAGAGGAGGTGGCTTTGAGTTGAGCTTAAAAGTATTATAAGAACATGGGCCGGGCACGGTGGCTCACGCCTGTAATCCCAGCACTTTGGGAGGCCGAGGCAGGCGGATCACGAGGTCAGGAGATCGAGACCATCCTGGCTAACACGGTGAAACCCCGTCTCTACTAAAAATACAAAAAAATTAGCCGAGCATGGTGGCAGGTGCCTGTAGTCCCAGCTACTCGGGAGGCTGAGGCAGGAGAATGGCATGAACCCGGGAGGCGGAGCTTGCAGTGAGCCGAGATCGCGCCGCTGCACTCCAGCCTGGGTAACAGAGTGAGACTCCGTCTCAACAACAACAACAAAAAAGAACATGGTAGATGGCTAGGTGTGGTGGCTCACACCTGTAATTCCAGAGCTTTGGGAGGCTGAGGCAGGAAGATTGCTTGAGCCCAGGAGCTAGAGACTAGTCAGGGCAACATAGCATGACCCCATCTCTATGAAAATTTTTTAACAAATTAGCTAGTGGAGTGGTACACAGCTGTAGTCCTAGCTACTTGAGAAGCAGAGGCAGGTGGATTGCTTGAACCCAGGAGTCTGAAGTTACAGTGAGCTATGGTCACACCACTACACTCCGGCCTGGGTGACAGAGCAAGACCCCATCTCTAATTTAAAAAAAAAAAAGAGAGACAGAGAGAACATCGGAGGGAAGCCGATTTCAGGGGAAGGGCAACATGGGCAAAGTTCACGGAAATAGCCAAGCTGATACTTACGGTGTGAGGTAGATCTGAATAGAGACAAATCTGGAAAAGTAGGGAGGGGTTGGTTTATATAGGGCTTTGGTCCCATGTGAGGGAGTTTGCACTTTATCCTGTAGACAGCAGAAGTTATAAAGGGCTTTAACGAGGGAGATAAATCTGGTCATATTTGTTTTTTCAGAAATCTCTCTCTGGGAACAGTGTGGAAGATGGATTGAAATGGTGTAAAATTGAAGATGTGGACTCCGGTTGGGAGACTACACCCTAGATAAGATGAAGAGAACTTGAAGCAAGACAATAGCAATGGGAATATAAAGGAGAGGAGACATTTGAGTGAAATTAAGGAAGCACAATCTGCAGACTGTTTTCTTTTTTTTAAGAGTCAGGGTCTCCCTATTTTGCCCAGGCTGGTCTCAAAGTCCTAGGCTCAAGCGACCCACCCACCTCAGCCTTCCAAAATGCTGGAATTACAGGGGTGAACTGCCTCACCATGCCTCAGTCTGCAGAATTTGATGACTGAATGTATTTGGAGAGAGTCTGTGGCTTGGATGACTGGGTGAGTGGATTGTGATGCCGTTCATGGAAATGAAGAAGGCAGAGGAAGGGAGAGCAAGAGGGTGGAAGTGGGGCAGTGGGGTGCTGGTGGGCCATCCAAGGGACACCAGCTGTTGAATATGTTGCATCTGTAAAGATACAGATTGATCATTCAGAAATAAAGAAGAGAAAAAAAGCAAAAGCAAAAAAAGTTTTAAAATAAAAAAGAATACAGATTGAGAGAGTCATAGGCATACAGATGGCCCTTGAAATGACAAGTAGATGGAAAACAATGAAACAAGAAAAGAAAGCCAAGAACAGAGAAAAAAAAACAGAGATGGAGAAGGAATAGTTAGTGAGGTCGGTAGGAAAGTAGGATTGAGTGGGAAGAGAGACTTTCCATAAGAAAGGAGTCATGTTAGGGTTTTCCAGAGAACCAGAACCAATACAGTGTGTGTGTGTGTGTGTGTGTGTGTATATGGGTGTGCGTGTATGTATATGTGTATATATATGGGTGTGCGTGTGTATGTGTGTATATATATGGGTGTGCGTGTGTATGTATATGTGTGTATATATGGGTGTGCGAGTGTATGTATATGTGTATATATGGGTGTGCGTATGTATATGTGTATATATATGGGTGTGCGAGTGTGTATATGTATATATATGGGTGTGCATGTGTATGTATATGTGTATATATATGGGTGTGCGTGTGTATGTATATACGTATATATATGGGTGTGCGTGTGTATGTGTGTGTATATGAGTGTGCGTGTGTGTGTATATATGGGTGTGCGTGTGTATGTATATGTGTATATATGGGTGTGCGTGTGTATGTATATGTGTATATATATGGGTGTGCGTGTATGTATATGTGTATATATAGGTGTGCGTATGTGTATATATATGGGTGTGCGTGTATGTGTATATATATGGGTGTGCGTGTATGTGTATATATATGGGTGTGCGTGTGTATGTGTATATATGGGTGTGTATGTATATGTGTATATATATGGGTGTGCGTATGTGTATATATATGGGTGTGCGTGTGTATGTATATGTGTATATATATGGGTGTGCATATGTATATGTGTAAATATATGGGTGTGCGTATGTATATATATATATATGGGTGTGCATGTGTATGTATATGTGTATATATATGGGTGTGATTCCCAGTCCAAGGTCAGAAGACCAATGTACCAGCTCAAGCAGGCAAGCAGGAAACAAAAAATGGAAGAATTCCTCCTTCCTCCACTTCTTGTTCTGTTCAGGCTCCCAACAGATTGGATGATGCCCACACACATTGAGGCGGCCAACCTGCTTTACTGAATTCACCAATTCAAATGCTAACCTCATCTGGAAACACCCTCGCAGACACACTCAGACACAACGTTTAATCTGGGTGCCCCTTGGCCAGTCATGTTGACACATAGAATTAACCATCACAGGAGTTACATCTGGTGTGAAAACCACAAAGAAATCAGGAAGGATGAAAACTGTGGTGGACATTTTCTCTTTTGACCACACTACCTCTTTTTTCCCCCCTTCTTTTGGAGAGAGAGAATTTCCACTTAACTCTTCCCCCAATGTGTGCACCTGTGCTAAGACTCTCAGGGCATTCTGCACTGCTCACTCCAAGCCACCAGGTGGGTATGTGGCCCGAGCTCAGCAGATTGGACTGACTTATGAGGACTTGGAAACTTGAGCCAAGTGATCCAAGGATGGAATAAATGTAGTGCCAGCAGAGGGCCCTTATCTGATAAGAGTGTTGATTAACTCTTGCTACCTATGCTTCCTTTAATTTCAGGAGCTGTGATTGGTTGATTGATTTTGAGGCGGAGTTTCACTCTTGTTGCCCAGGCTGAAGTGCAGTGGCACAACCTCTGCTCACTGCAACCGCTGCCTTCCAGTTTCAAGCGATTCTCCTGCCTCAGCCTCCCAAGTAGCTGGGATTACAGGCGCCTGCCACAACGTCTGGGTAATTTTTGTATTTTTAGTAGAGATGGGTTTCACCATGTTGGCCAGGATGGTCTCGAACTCCTGACCTCGTGATCTGCCCGCCTTGGCCTCACAAAGTGCTGGGATTACAGGCGTGAGCCACCATGCCTGGCCTATTATTTTATTTTTTGAGATGGGGTCTCGCTCTGCTTCCCAGGTTGGAGTGCAGTGGCATGATCATGGCTCACTGCAACTTTGACCTCCCCAGGCTCCGGTGATCCTCCCACCTCAGCCTCTCAAGTGTCTGGGATTACAGGTAAGTGCCACTATGCCTGGCTATATTTTTGTGTGTTTTTTTTGTAGAGACGGAGTTTCTCCATTTTGGCCAGTTTGGTGTCGACCTCCCGGGCTTAAGCGATCCACCCACCTCAGCCTCCCAAAGTGTTGGGATTACAGGCGTGAGCCACTGTATCCAGCTTGTGATATACTTTTAATAAATTTCTCTTAAACTTAAATTAGCAAGTGCTTGTTTATCATCCTTCCAATTAGAGAACCTGGATTCGGCCATTAGGAAGTCAAGGGTGGCATTCATTGGGAAGTTTCATGGGGTGAGAGGTGAAAGGCTGGCTGATGGGGGAATGGAAGTGAGAAGTAGAAATAATTGCATTCTAATCTTTAAGGAGTTGTTTTTTGGGGGAAGAGAAGCTGTTAAAGAAGTAGCGAACTATTTTTAACCACGCTTGAACCCATCGTTTGATAGGGTGACTGAAAAGAGAGTTCCTGAAACTTGGGCAGCCATAAATCTATTGTTTTGTTATGAATTTCTCTAATTTTTAGTGAGATAAACTTACTTTTAGTTTATCAACATATTTCAACTATTCTTACTAGTCATATATGGCAACCCTGCCCCAAGATGTCACATTGGTCTCTAAAGTGTTTCCTTCAGAGTAAGGTTCATCTGATTTGATACACTGATAGGAAGCAAGTTGTAAAAAATAAAGCCACTACGGAAGGCTTCTTTTGTAAATAAGATACCCAAGCACCAAATCAATGATTACACTGAAAAATAACTTGATTTTGGTACTAACTTTTGGAAATACACATAAAATAGGCTTTCTCTTCTCCAGCCTAACGTGGATTGAATTGCTATACTGTGTAATGATTTTCTGCCCCCTAATGGTTGTTCAAAAGCATTAAGAAATTTGTCATCTGCTTGAAAACATTTTCTATTATAAGAAAATATTTTCTTTATAGCACATTTTTAATTTTATTTTAGGAATTCGAAATGACTTAGAAATGTGTCATCATTCACAAGAGGCCCGTGTTACTCTTAAAAATAGGCCGATCTCATAAAACAACTGCGAACCTCATTATATAATGTGAACAGACAGGATTTTAGGCAACCAGTAGGTGGAGGAATTTCCAAAGCTAAGAACACCACAGGCTCCAAAACCCAACTTCAGAGCTGAGGGCCTTAAAGTAATCTGTTCAGCCTTCTCCGCTTTATACTAATAGAAGACTGTGGAGCAGCTCTGAGATATATGCTCATAGAAGTACATCGCCCATGATATTCTGGCAAAAGGAAAGACTATTTTAGATTAGGATTGGATTTTACTTGTGAAATATGAGATTGGGGCCAAGAGAAAGCATTGCTTTGGGTAGGGATAGCATGAGATTAAAAAACTGAAAATAAGTCGAGTGTGTGAAGAAAATGACTGTGACATACGAGAGGAAGGAAGCCAACAAGAGAGTGCCGTGGGTAGATGCTAGAAAGGGTGACATCATGCAGAAAGGTCAGGGAGGGAGGCTGAGTTTGGCTTTGGTCCAGTCAGCAATAGAAGGCTATTATGAAAGACAAACGTAAATATTTGTAAAATATAGTGTTGGTACAAACAAATATAAAAAAACATTGAGTTGCTTCTGCTGCTCCTTCCTTTTTTAGACCTGGAAACAATGAATCCAGAGGGAACAGCCACAGACGCTCCTGAGCACGTCAGTTTAGGCCTTCTGTGCCTAACGCAATTTCTTCCCTTAGAATTTGACCCTTGCCTGTGTCACCCAGCACTCATCCCATACCTCCTCCTGACCTCCCTGCAAGGTGGAGCCCACCAACCTGATCGCTGATCTTACCCTCCTCGTTAAGACTTACTCTATTACATCATCTTATCATTGACATGAAGTGGAGACCCAATGCCTGGCCAGTCTGAAGCTGTACACACGTAGGACATTAACTGAAACCTCAACTAAACCTCATCAAATTCCCACTTACTCTGGCTCCCCTTTCTCTATTTTTTAATTAAAAATTTTTGTATTATTCCTATTCTATTTTCCTGCAAACAGAGGCCCCCCTTCTTCTTGCACTCAAAAAATTCCACAATTCTCCTGGTTTCTTCATTTTCCCTCTTTTCACAGGCCTATATACTCTTCCATGTTTAATATCCTGGCTCATTTTATTCTTACTAACCATGAGAACTTATCTTTTTTATTCAATAGACTGTCCTCACTCTTGATCAATTTTATGCACTTAAATAGGCCATGTCATGTTTTTGCACATCAGACTGGAAAAATGACTAAGAGAGGTGGTATCCAGAGTTGACGAGGTTTGGAGAAAAACAGGTTCAGTCATTTGTGGAAGTATAGGCTTAGACATTTTTCGAAGGATAATTAGGCAGCATCCACCCAAATTCAGAATATCTGAGCCTTGTGAATCCTTAATCCTTTTAGAAATCTACCTTACAGAAATATGAGCACTAGAATAGAGCAATACAAGTCAAGCGTATTTCCTGTAGGATTATCTACAAAAGCAAAACAAAGAAAATAAATGAGACAGCCATCAAAAATTCAAAAATTAGAAACCAGAATGATAATACTTTTTTTCATTTAAAACAAGGAGTTTAAACAAGATGCTTAACTTGAAGGGAAAACTAGGATTCTTTGTTTTAGAGTAATTTATCCCTAAAGACAGATTGCCCTACACGTAACAGCTACGTACAAAAAAGTATAAAATTGTCCTTGGTTTTACAATGGTAAATGAAAAACATTAAAATTCTCCAACTGAACAAGGTATGCAAGGATTTTTTTTATTTTTTTGTTAAAATAGTGAGAGCAAAATAACTTACTGGAATATAAACGTAAGAGCCGACTGAGCATGCCACTAATGGAGAAAATGGGGTATTTCCACAGCCTCAGTGTTTTTCCCCATCCCGTCACCACTTGATGTCAATCGAAACATACCATTGGCTGCTTGGTTAAAAAAAAAAAGGAATATGCTTGTGCACATACACCAGTTACGTTATGTACAATAAAGAAATGGGGAAGGGGGAAATGAAAGAATAGAGAAAGCTATATTATAGTACTCACGATGTGGTGGAACCAAATCGGTTTTCTAATTGCGAATGTAATCTTGGTCTTTAAAGTTAACAGTTCTGGAGTGAAGAACCAGGTTCTCTCTTCAGGAAACACCTCCTGTCTGCTGTTGGAGCATATCGATTGTATCTTCATCCTCCAACTGTGTAGGTGTTATCTATTTCATTGATGGGTTGCCCATCAAATCAGAATCTGACCTGCCTCATTGACAATCCCTGTCATTCACAATAGGCTTTAATTAGTTTACTAAGTGGTGCATACCTCTTAAAGTGCACCCCAGAACCGCCCCGCCCCCTTCAAATTAATATGATCATTGTTCTCAGGCTCGACTCCTTCCTAGGGCTTTTCGTAGGCCATGGGAAACGCCAGAGTCTCCTCAGCTGCCCCTTCATAAAACAGGTATCAAGTCTGCACCGGATTGTGTCTGACATTTGTGAGTTCTCGGTCTCACCGACTTCAAGAATGAAGCCACACACCCTAGCAGTATTACAGTTCTTAAGGGCAGCATGTCTAGAGTTTGTTCTTTCTGATGTTCTGATATGTTTGGAGTTTTTTCCTTCTGGTGGGTTCAGTGGTCTCACTGGCTCAGGAGTGAAGCTGCATGTTTTTGCGGTGAGCTTTACAGCTCCTAAGGCGGCCTGTCTGGAGTTATCTGTTCCTCCCGGTGGGTTCGTGGTCTAGGATGGCTTCAGAAGTAAAACTACAGATCTTCGCAATGACTGTTACAGTTCACAAAGGCAGTGTGGACCCAAACAATAAACAATAACAAGATTTATAGCAAAAAGCAAAAGAACACAAGCTTCCATAGTATAGAACCAGCCCCTAGCCCGTTACCACTGCTGGCTCGGGCAGCCTGCTTTTAGTCTCTTATCTGGCCTCGCCCACATCCTGCTGATTGGTCCATTTTACAGAGAGCCGATTGGTCTGTTTTACAGACAGCTGATTGGTCCGTTTTGACAGGGTGCTGATTGGTGCATTTACAATCCTTGAGCTAGACACAAAAGTTCTACAGGTCCCCACTAGATTAGCTAGATACAGAGTGTGGACTGGTGTATTTACAAACCCTGAGCTAGATACAAACTGCCGATTGGTGCATTCACAATCCCTTAGCTAGACATAAAGATTCTCCAAGTCCCCCCCAGATTAACTAGATACAGAGTGCCCATTGGTGCATTCACAAACCCTGAGCTAGACACAGAGTGCTGATTGGTGTGTTTACAAACCTTGAGCTAGATACAGAGTGCTGATTGCTGTATTTACAATCCCTTAGCTAGACATAAAGATTCTCCAAGTCCCCACCAGACTCAGGAGCCCAGCTGGCTTCACCCAGTGGATCCTGCACCGGGGGCGCAAGTGGAGTTCCCTGCCTGTCCGGAGCCGTGCGCCCGCACTCCTCAGCCCTTGGGCGGTCTATGGGACTGGGCGCCGTGGAGCAGGGGGCGGCGATCGTCAGGGAGGCAGCTAAAGCCCCGCGAGAAATCGAGCACAGCAGCTGCTGGCCCAGGTGCTAAGCCCCTCACTGCCCAGGCCGGCGGGGCCGGCCAGTAGCTGCGACGGGCGGGGCCCGCCGAGCCCACGCCTATCTGGAACTCGCGCTGGCCCGCAAGCGCCGCGCGCAGCCCGGCTTCCCAGCCGCGCCTCTCCCTCCACGCTTCTCCCTCCACACCTCTCCGCAAACCGAGGGAGCCGGCTTCGGTCTTGGCCAGCCCAGAAAAGGGCTCCCACAGTGCAGCGGCGGGCTGAAGGGGCTCCTGAAGCGCCGCGAGAGCGGGCGCCAAGGCCGAGGAGGCGGCGCCTAGAGAGAGCGAGGGCTGCGAGGCTGCCAGCACGCTGCCACCTCTCAGAATGAGCATACAAGCAGCACCAAGAGCGGCAGAGAAAGCAATAGTACAATTTCTCAATAAATCTAAAAGCTAATTCTTTGAAAAAAAATATATATATATATACACATACAGGCTGGGCACGGTGGCTCACGCCTGTAATCCCAGCCCTTTGGGAGGCGGGAGGCGGGCGGATCACGAGGTCAGGAGATCGAGACCATCCTGGCTAACCCGGTGAAACCCCGTCTCTACTAAAAATACAAAAAATTAGCCCGGCGTAGTGGCGGGCGCCTGTAGTCCCAGCTAGTCTGGAGGCTGAGGCAGGCGAATGGCGTGAATTCACCCCGGAGGCGGAGCTTGCAGTGAGCTGAGATCGCGCCACTGCACTCTAGTCTGGGCGACAGAGCCAGACTAAGTCTAAAAAAAAAAACAAAAAAAAAACACAAATATATATATATACACACATACACATATATATACACACATATATATAGCGTGTGAAAGTCTAGTAATGTTAATTAAGAAAAAAATTATAACTATAGACATTAAGAATGAGAAATTGTATTGAAAATACTGAAACAGCGGGCGCGGTGGCTCATGCCTGTAATCCCAGCACTTTGAGAGGCCGAGGCGGGCGGATCACGAGGTCAGGAGATGGAGACCACGTTGAAACCCCGTCTCTAATAAAAATACAGAAAATTAGCCCGACGCGGTGGCGGGCGCCTGTAGTCCCAGCTACTCCGGAGGCTGAGGCAGGAGAATGGCGTGAACCCGGGAGGCGGAGCTTGCAGTGAGCTGAGATCGCACCACTGCACTCCAGCCTGGGTGACAGAGTGAGACTCCGTCTCAAAAAAAAAAAGAAAGAAAAAGAAAATACTGAAACAATTTTTTCAAAATAAAATGAAGTTGACGTTCAAGTTCATTCCAACAAATTTGAAAACCCAGAGAAAATAGGTTATTTCCTAGGAAAATGATAAATTGCCAAAATTGACTTAAAGACAAAAACCTAAAGACATTTATAACCACTAAAAAAATTAAAAAATCAAAATACTTGTCAAAAACAATTAACTTTTTATTTTTTCAGTTATTTTTAAATTATAATTTTATAGTTTTATTATTTGAGTTTTGAGACAACGCCTATATAATATTTGTATTTTGGAATTTGAGACATTAATTTTGAACTATTGCATGATGAATTTTTAAATATGTTCCATAAGATATTGGAAAAATGGGCTGGGTGTGGTGGCACACGCCTGTAATCCCAGCACTGGGAGGCCCAGGTGGGTGGATCACCTGACATCAGGAGTTCGAGAGCAGCCTGGCCAACATGGTGAAGCCCCATGTCTACTAAAAATACAAAAAATTAGGCAGGTGTAGTGGCAGATGCCTGTAATCCATGCTAATTGGGAGGCTGAGGCAGGAGAATCGCTTGAACCCAGCCTGGACAATAGAGCAAGACCCTGTCTCAACAAAGAGAAAAAAAAGATATTGGAAAAATGGTTTATATAATACTTGGAACTTTCTAGCTAATCTTTAAAAACCAGAATATTCCTTGTTTGTCTACCTATCATCTATTTATAATTATAAAAGTAATCCAAGCTTATTATAACAAATTTAAACCACAAAAAAAGACAATTGTGTTTGCACCTCAAAGGATTACCACTCACTGTTAAGTCAGTACATATCTTTCCACATTCTTCACTGCTTTTTCAAACATAAAAAATAAACTTTGAATGTTTTAATTCTTTAATGTTTGCTTTATTATAATTAATTTATTTTTCCTATATTCCTTGATTATGTTTCATTTCCTTTCCCTAAGTTTTTGGCTGGAATGCTTATCATTCTATAATCCTTTGTCACTAAGTTATTATTGTAATACCCACCTCTCTTCTTTGAATCAAAAATTATTTAAAAGAGTAAACTTTTTCAATGCCTGCATAACTTTGGTTAATTTTTTCTTCTGTTAGCTCTATTGTCTTGCACTCAGAGACTGGCCCATGTAATATTTACTTTTCAGACTCCAAGATTTTCACTTTATCAAATACAGGATTAAGTCCATAAGACAATGGAAAAACAACTATATTCTGTTTTTAGAGTTCCAATAATCTTTCAAATCAATCTTAATTATATAATTCTGATTTCTTGTATTGTAGTCCATTTTTTTCTGCCTAGTCAGTCTGTCAAAGACAGAAATATATATGATAACACACTACTTATATATTTTTAAAAATCCATCTTTTTGCATTTTTAATGGTTAATATACTTAATATATTAACAACTAATATATTTTCATGAAAAACAATTCAACACTGGCAGGTAGCATTCTAAGATGGTCTCTAAAATTCCTGGTGGCTAGTATACATTCCACGTAATAATCCCCTCTTCTTGAGTGTGAGAGAAATCTGGGAATGTGGGTGGCTATGAGTCCCATGATTAAGTTATGTTATATGGAAAAGTTGAAGGGATTTTGCAGATATAACTAAGGTTCTGAATCAATCAATTTTAAGTTGATCAAATGATAGATTATCCTGAGTGGGCCTGACCAAATCAAGTGAGACCTTTAAAAGAGAGTTGGAAGGTCAGAAATAGAAGGGGTTAGAGAGATTTGAAGTGAGAGAGAGCCCCATGCTGGCCTTGCGGAAGCAAACAGCCATGTTGAGAACTGCCTATGGGAGGGGCCGTGTAGCAAGGGCTTGCACACGGCTTCCAGGAGCTAAGAGTGATCCCAGCCAATATCCAGCAAGAAAGCAGACACCCCAGTCCTACAGTCTCAAGGAACTGAATTTTACTAATGTAGGATACAGTAAATTCCTCTTCTAAGTTTAGCCTGTTAACTTCCTTTAAAATTCAAGAGGAAGAAAAATTGTTAAGTACAATGAATTCTGAGTTCCTCTTCAAAAAACCAATATGTCAGTATGTTCAGCTTCCCTGTCCTTTGTCCTCCATTTTAAAGTTTAACGTCCTCATTCTTTACCCTCCTAGCCTCTATCACCTGTTCTGTCTTTAGGGATCCTTAGTCACATGCTCTGTCCTCAGCCATCCTTAGTCACCTGTGCTGTCCTTAGGCATCCTTAGTCACCTGTTCTGTAACCATGCCTCCCACCGAAACTACTCACCCCACCACTCTGGGTGGTACCCTTGCTCTCTTTAAAATAGCCAGTCAGCATTAGCTTAGACTGTGTGGTCCAACCCTAGCCAATAGGGGAGAGAGGCAGCAGTAGGGGCTAGCTGCATGCTTTAGGAATAAGACTCCCTTCCCCTCCCTTGTCTGGTGTGCTCTCGCCATTGCTGTATCCATGAGATGCACCCTTCTATAGAAGTAAATTGCCTTGCTGAGAAAACTTGCCTGAGTGCTATTTTCACTTGGTGGCACCAAGCATTTACTTCCAACACTAGTAACTTGAATGAGCTTGGAAGAGGATCCTAAACCCTAGATGAGTAGATGAGAACACACCTTAGCTGGCATCTTGATTTAATTTCAATTTTGTGAGATCCTAATAGTAACCAATACTTTTATAAGCACGCAACTACACTGGGCCCAGACTTCTGACCTATGGAAACTATGAGATAATAAATGAGTAATGTTTCAAGCTGCTAAGTTTGTAGTATTGTGTTATGCAGCAAGAGAACACAAATACAAACATATAAAGACTTCTGAGAGTTATATTTTTGGTGTTAATTAGATCTTTCATGATTATAAAATAACCTCTATTGTTCTGTTTAATATATTTGCTTTACATATTTTAATATTTTTGTTATTATACATATTACTAATATTGTGATTTCTGTTTTATTGGTGTTTGCTTTCATTTATTATCCCTTTGTCATCCTTTTAGTTCTAAAGTTGTGAGATACTTCTAGAAATAGTGTCTATATACATATATATATTTGTTTAATTGAATTTTTTGTATTTTCATGATATAATTTGTCACATTTTATTTATTGGTATCTCTTTTGATCTTAATTTTTCGTCTCGTGCTGTTATTTCTGTATCTTATTCTTTGTTCAGTTATTTTCTGTACTTTGGTATATAACTATATTTTTGTTTGTTTTCTCTTTTTCAGTGACTTTAGAAAGTATGCATTTAAACCTTGTTTTTAGGAATAAAAAAATTTACATTTTTCTAAAGGATTCTTCTACTTGTGTATTTTTTTCAAGGCAGGGACTAGGGCTCTTGTCCCCTTGTACCCTTAGTATCAATCACATAGAAATGTTTAAAAAATGTTTGATTGGCCGAGCATGGTGGCTCATGCCTGTAATCCCAGCACTTTGAGAGGCCAACGCAGGTGGATGGCTTGAGGCCAGGAGTTCAAAACCAGCCTGGGCAACATGGTAAAACCCTGTCTCTACAAAAAATACAAAAATTAGCCAGGTGTGGTCCCAGCTTCTTGGGAGGCTGAGGCAGGAGGATCACTTGAGCCTGGGAGGTGGAGGTTGCAGTGAGCTGAGATTGCACCATTGCACTCCAGCCTGGGTGACACAGCAAGACTGTCTGAAAATAAATAAATAAATAAATAAATAAATAAATAAATAAATAAATACAAAACATTTGGTTTGCTGAATTGAAATCACTAGGTTCTAAGCAATTGTGCTGGTAAGTAGCTTTTACCATTTTTTTTCAAATAAGCATTTAAAAATATTATTTGATTTTTCTCTTTGGGTTATATCATGTTCATGTTGGTTTTAAACCATATTCTTCATATACACTCTCTTGAAACAGACACCTGTAATCTGAAACAAAAAATAAAAATAACTTGATGGACTAGAATGTAATTACCTTCTTCTGATTTTTTTTCTTTACTTTTTTTTTTTTGAGAAGGAGTCTTGCTCTGTTGCCCAGGCTGGAGCAAAGTGGTGCAATCTCAGTTTACTGCAGCCTCCACCTCCTGGGTTCAGGGGATTCTCCTGACTCAGCCTCCCGTGTAGCTGGGATTACAGGTGCATGCCACCATGCCTGGCTTACGTTTGTTATTTTTAGTAGAGACGGGGTTTCAGCATGTTGGTCAGGCTGGTCTCGAACTCCTGACCTCAAATGATCCATCCAAGTTTACCTCCCAAACTGCTGGGATTACAGGCGTGAGCCACCGTGCCTGGCACTTTTTTTTTTTTTTTTTTTTTTAGAGATAGGATTCAGTCTGTTGCCCAGGCTGGAATGAAGTGACTCAATCATAGCTTATTGCAGCAACCTCTTGGCTTTAAATGATCCGCCTGCCTTGGTCTCCCAAAGTGCTGGGATTATAGGTATGAGCCACCGTGCCTGGCGACAATCTGTTTTTCTGATACATACTCACCTTACTTAATAATATATTGTGCACATTTTTCCAAGTTCTTGGAAGGAAGGTATTTCTGGTAATGGAACCAATAAATCAGAGGGTGCATGATACATAAATCCAAATTTGTAATCACTTAAGTACATTGTAAGTTTATTTCTCATGTAAGTGCCCACGACGAGTACAGGTCAGTGAATGGCTCTATTCCATACTGTGATTCAGAGACTGAGGCTCTTTCTAACTTGTTATTCTTGCATAACCAGAGTATACTGTCATCTGCATGATTTAGGCTGGTTGCCATGCCTAGGATCTGGCTAGTAGAAGGGAAAGGGAACATGGAGAAAATATACTGTCTAAAAAGACTAAGTCCTGAAGTGAGATTTACCACATTACTTTATACTCACATTCCTTCAGGGGGGATATAGTCACATGGCCATCCAACTGCAAGAGAGGCTGGGAAATGATAAGAAGGGGAGACTAGATTTTGGTACACAGTTTTGTTATATATTTGTTTAATTTCATATGTGAAAAAAATTTTAACACATTAATCTCATTGTAAAAGAATTGTCTTTGAAGGTATCACAGGCACTTGTCAAATGGGCACACCTCTAGTTAGTGGCAGATCCAGAATGGAAACAGATCTTTTGACACTGATGGCAAAGCTTTTTCTATTTTTTTTTTTTTTTTTTTTTTTTGAGACAAAGTCTCACTTTGTTGCTCAGGCTGGAGTGCAGTGGTGTGATCTCAGCTCACTTCAACCTCCCCCTCCCAGGTTCAAGCGAGTCTCCCGCCTCAGCCTCCCCAGTAGCTGGGATTACAGACGTGCGCCACCATGCCCAGCTAATTTTTGTATGTTTAGTAGAGACGGGGTTTCACCATGTTGGCCAGGCTGGTCTTGAGCTCCTGACCTCGTGATCTGTCCACCTCGTCCTCCCAAAGTGCTGGGATTACAGGCGTGAGCCACTGCACCCAGCCGGCAAAGCTGTTTCTAATGAATGATACGGACAGGAGGTTGGGAAATACTAAGCAGAAAAGGGCAGTGTCGCGGACAAAGCCCCATCCTCAAACCTGGACCTGCAGCCCAAAGCGAAAACATGCATTCCTGTTTTCCAGCTGGAAATGTTGCCTTTTCCAAAACCACCCTGGCCCACCCTATCCCCCATCCTGTACCCATAAAAAGCCAGGCTCCACTGGCAGAGAGGCAGAGAAGGAGAGAAGGAACAGCCAGACATTGGAGACAAGAGAAGCAGCAGCTGGACATCAGAGAGAAGCAGCTTGACTTCACAGGGATGGCTTAATGATAAGACCTTGGAGAAGAGTTTGGCCAGGGATGGCCAAACTCCAGGGGAAGACCACCTTCCCACTCCATTCCCTTTCTAGCTCCCCATCCAGCTGAGAGCCACTTCTACCGCTCAATAAAATCCTCCACATTCACCACCCTTCAATTCATTCATGTGACCTTATTCTTCCTGGATGATGGACAAGGACCCGGGTGTGGGTACAAGAGGCTGTCACACTGACCCTCCACTGAGCTGTGTAACACTTAAGCCAACCATGGATGGCAAAGCTAAGAGAGTGCACTCTAACACATGCCCTCTGGGGCCTTGGGGTTGGCAGGCAACCCCTAGATGCTGCCATGGGCTCTCACGGAGTTCTGCTCCTGCTGGTTGCCCAGAAGCACTTGTCCTGGCCCCTGTACCCACTCGCCTGCATGCTCCCACTTCTGTAAGGGGTTGAGAGCTATAGTCTGAGTCCCACGAAGGGGTCAAGGGAATTATCCTGTTTCATTAATGCAAGGCTTACTTTACTTTTTTAAAGTTAATGAAGTATGAGCTTTTTTTTTTCACTGAAGATAAACACTATTAGAAATATCTCTGTCTGGTGAGAGGTTGAAGCTTTTTTGAGAGAGACTTCTATAAACTATAGAGTATGGGGTTAATTTAATTTGAGAAAATGGTTGTCTAGTCAGTTGGTAGAAGCAGCCTGTAGACCATATTGCTGGCATAATTATTTTAGATGCTAACAAATGAGAGAACATTTTGATAACTCCATGAAAATCTCTCAGATTTTAGTTGTTAACGATGGGACATCATTCCCTGAATTCCACATTCACTAAATAGGCTTCCATTAAAATATTCCTTTTTTATTCTCCAGATACTTGTATATCAGCTTTGAGCATGTAGGGTAAGTGTTGACTACTTATTTGGTGAATTTGTACAGGTAATTTGGATAACTTAGGTTTTCAAATACTATTTTTCAGTAGGCATGTATAGTTGCTTTTTGCTTCACTTTACCAGATAAATACCAAAATCTCCGTTTCAATTTGCCATTGTAGTCAGAGCTAAAGAAACAACTCATAATGGTGGTGGAAATTCCTGGTTATTTCAGCCAGCTTTTCTCTTTATCCCAGAACATAAAGAATACAAATAACTTACAACTCCTTTAAAAATCATATTGCTATAAATTTATATCCTATTACTGAAGATAACATGTCATACATAGTTCTTGTAGAATATTTCTCCAGACCTCTATACATCTTTTAGTAATGCTACAGGACAACGTCTTCAAATATATGTAAAAGATCATAAATTTTATCATGCTTGATTGCAGAAGGTAATCACTCTCCTGGAACAGAGAGTCTGCATCCTTCTAACTCTGATATGTTCTCTACAGCTTTTAAATTGAAGAGGAATGCCTGCAGCAGGGGCTATCACACTATCAGCTGCATGCAGGGCGGGCTGCTGGAGGGCATGTGTCATTAGCATCACCCTGTGAGGGGATGCATACTATTCATTATGTGTGGACACTATTATGCCCCACAGGGACAATAAGCAGGAAAGATCAGTCTTCCGAAACCTCATTCTCCCAAAACAAATCTACAGAACTACTATATTCATGGGAAGACTTCCTATTGTAGGTTTATTGACTTTTGAGTGAAAGAAATGAGGTCACAGAGTTATTATTAAAAATAACAAAAAAGTTTTCAAATGCATACCTCTGATCAGTTGCTTGGATGAATTATTGAACTCAGGAAAGTACTAACTGATTTTCAGTGAGAAAACCTTTGTAATATTGGTGAATGCAATTTAAAACCTGGCATTATAGTTTATTAAGTGGTGCATTTACTTCATCTGAATCTTCAGGTTATTATGAGGGTATCATTCTGTTGATGAAAAAAGTCAAACTGTAAAATATTTAAGAGATTTATTCTGAGCCAAATATGAGTGACCATGGCCCATGACACAGCCCTTAGGTGGTTCTGAGAACATGTGCCCAACGTGGTTGGGGCACAGCTTGGTTTAACATATTTTAGGGAGACAAGAGACAGCAATCAAATACTTTAAAGATATACATTGGTTCTGTGCAGAAAGGTGGGACAATTCGAAGTGGGGAAGGTTGGAGGTCAAGGTCTTAGGTAGATTTTAAAATTTTCTGATCGGCAATTGGCTGAAAGAGTTATTGTCAGTAGAAAGGAATGTCTGGGTTACATTAAGAGGTTATGGAGACCAAAATTTAATGGTGCAGATGAAACCTCCAGATAGCAGGCTTCAATAGACTGTAAATGTTTCCTTTTTCTTTCTTTTTTATTTTTATTTTTGAGATGGAGTCTTGCTCTATTGTCAGGCTGGAGGGCAGTGGCGCCATCTCGGCTCACTGCAACCTCTGCCTCCTGGATTCAAGCCATTCTTCTGCCTCAACCTCCCAAGTAGCTGGAACT
The DNA here is from genome assembly GCF_000001405.40 of Homo sapiens. Classification (NCBI taxonomy): domain Eukaryota; kingdom Metazoa; phylum Chordata; class Mammalia; order Primates; family Hominidae; genus Homo; species Homo sapiens. Next base: position 17,571,582 of record NC_000006.12, on the reverse strand, counting down.
ACAGGTGCGTGCCACCACGCCCGGCTAATTTTTGTATTTTTATTAGAGATGGGGTTTCACCATGTTGGCTGATAGTCTTGATCTCTTGACTTAGTGATCTGCCCGCCTCGGCCTCCCAAAGTGTTGGGATTATGGGCGTGAGCCACCGAGCCAGGCCGACCGTTAATGTTTCTTGTCAGACTTAAGGTCTGTGTTGATGTTAATGCTGGAGGGTCGAAGGGGGAATGTCCAAACCCCACTTCCCATCCTAGCTTGAACCAGTCTTTCAGGTGAAATTTTAGAGTGCCCTGGTGGAGGAGGAAGTCCATTCAGATGGTTGGGGGACCTCAGAATTTTATTTTTGGCTTACATTCTGGCCTTATAATTTTATTTTTGGTTTATAGTTCTTTGACTATTGACAGTCCTAAAAAAACAAGGAAATACAGTAGACTTAGGACTCAAATATTCAAAGTTGCAGTTTTAGGCAAAAATTATCTTTAAATATAAAATAATACATTGCCGGCTGGGTGCAGTGGCTCACGCCTGTAATCCCAGCACTTTGGGAGGCCGAGGTGGGCAGATCACGAGGTCAGGAGTTTGAGACCAGCCTGGCCAATATGGTGAGACCGCATCTCTAATAAAAATACAAAAATTAGCCAGGCGTGGTGGTGTGCGCCTGTAGCTCCAGCTACTCGGAAGGCTGAGGCAGGATAATTGCTTGAACCTGGGAGGCAGAGGTTGCAGTGAACCGAGATTGCACCACTGCACTCCAGCCTGGGCAACAGAGTGAGACTCTGTCTCAAAAAATAATAATACCTTGTATTGGAGGGAAACTGAAAAAAAATTCTCTAACAGGCAAACATTGCCCTTTGTTAGTTGTATACTCTGTGCCAAGTTACTAAGCAAACAGTAGGGGAACAAAAACCATTTGGAGAAATTTGAGCTGGCTTACTCTTCACTTGTAGCACAGATACAAGCTGCATCATGTACAGAAACATTGAAATGGTTAAATATGCAAAATAAATCTGTGACAGATTATAAAATCAGCTTGTCTTAGTTGAAGCAATTAAAGCCCTTGAAATTGCATCTGTATCTGAAGTGGTGCTGAAAGTGCCAATGGTTTAAAATAATTCTTTTGAAATGAACATTTTTAATGAAATTCACTTTTGGACTATTAAGTTTATGCAATAATTCCTAAGTATTTGGTATAGAAGACAAGGGAAGGCTCCAGATCCATAGATCTGTGAAAGGAAAATATTTTGGGCCACCAAAATCACGAAGCTAAAGGAAAAAGTCAAGCTGGGAACTGCTCAGGGCAAACCTGCCTCCCATTCTATTCAGTCACCCCTCTGCTCACTGAGATAAATGCATATCTGATTGCCTCGTTTGGAGACGCTAATCAGAAACTCAAAAGAATGCAACCTGCAGTGGCTTACGCCTGTAATCCCAGCACTTTGGGAGGCTGAGGTGGGTGGATCACCTGAGGTCAGGAGTTTGAGACCAGCCTGGCCAACATGGTGAAACCCTGTCTCTACTAAAAATACAAAAATTAGCCAGGCATGGTGGTAGCCTCTAATCCCAGCTACTCAGGAAGGCTGAGGCACAAGAATCACTTGAATCTGGGAGACGGAGCTTGCAGTGAGCCGAGATGGAGCCACTGCACTCCAGCCTGAGCGACAAGAGCAAGACTCCATCTAAAAAAAAAAAAAAAAAAAAAGAATGCAACCATTTGTCTCTTATCTACCTATCACCTGGAAGCCCCCTCCCTGCTATGAGGCTTTGAGTTGTCCCGCCTTTCCAGACTAAACCAGTATTCATCTTACATATATTGATTGATGTCTCATGTCTCTCTAAAATGTTAAAAACCAAACTGTGGTCTGACCACCTTGGCCACATGTTGTCAGGACCTCCTGAGACTATGTCACAGGCATGCGTCCTCAACCTTGGCAAAATAAACTATCTAAATGAACTGAGACTTGTCTTGTCTCAGATTTTTGGGATTCACATTTGGTAACCATGAAGAGATTCTGAGTAGAAGTGCTCCTGACCTTTGACAAATCTATTGGTGCTTGGTACCAGCCTGAGCTATCTTTATGGCTCAAACCAATAGGACAATTTGCTGATGCCTGGAAGCACCTCCTCTAGAGAATCCCTGATCTCCCAAAATTGGATCGAGAGCTAAAGTTTATTTTGCTATAAAATTCCTTTTCTTTTCTTTTCTTTTGAGACGGAGTCTTGCACTGTTGCCCAGGCTGGATTCCAGTGGCGTGATCTCAGCTCACTGCAACCTCTGCCTCCTGGGTTCAAGCAATTCTCCTGCCTCAGTCTCCCAAGTAGCTGGGATTACAGGCGTGAACCACCACACCTGGCTGATTTTTGTATTTTTATTAGAGACTTTTCACCATGTTGGCCAGGCTGGTCTCAAACTCCTGACTTCAGATGATCCACCCACCTTGGCTTCCCAAAGTGCTGGGATTACAGGTGTGAGCCACTGCACCTGGCCATAAAATTCCTTTTTTTTTGGAGTTTTACTTGTTTCCACCACAAAGAAGGCAAGTTTGTCCTGCTTCCGTGATGATGGAAGGCAGTTAACTCCTTTATGGAGTTTGAGCTTGCTTTCAACAGGGAAGATGAGGGTTTTTTTTCCTGCTTCTAGGGTGGTAGAGAGCAGTCTACAGCCTGAGAACCATCCCTAGGTAAGTAACTGCATTGGGCTTTGTCTCAGTTAAAGTTAAAATTAACAATCAGCTGGTCTTAATTTCTCCTTACGATTAGAGTGCTCAGTAATGATGTAAGTTGTGCGATCATTTGTTTTGCTTACCTGTTTTTTGTTGTTGTTTTGGTCTTTTTCCCATTGGGTTTGATCAACTCTATCCGACTTGATCAAATCTGAAGGAAGTTCCTCCTAATTTTGGGGAACAAGGCCTCTGAAGTGGCTAAATTCCACCACCCCACCACACACACAAAAAAGGTGGTGTGGTTGGGGGAAGAAAATGACTAGCAGAAGGAAAAAAAAAAGAGGAAAGATTTTTGATTTTGACTAATAAGGAGCTTTATTTACAAGTCCACTTTTTTTTTGCTAGCCAGGCCAAACTAAAAGAGCAGTGGCTGTACTTCTGAAATAGCAGCAATTTGTCCTAGCTGAAATATGGTAATGAGATTTTAAAAAGATTTTTTCTAAAGGAACTCAATGGTTAAAAGTCAGCTTAATTAAAAACTAACATCCAAGATGTGTGTGTGTGTGTGTGTGTGTGTGTGTGCATATGTGTGTGTTTGTATTTAAAAGGCTTTCATGTTTTTGTTTTTGTTTTTCTCCTAAGACCTTGTGTTTTTTTTGAGCAAAAGTTTTTTCTTCTCAGTTGGCTGAATTCTGGTTTCTTCATTTACTTATGCTGTCTCTCCTTTTTCTTGCACCGTCTGCTGCATGGGGGACCTAAAATAGTTTATAACAGCCTCAGGTTCCTTAAAGAAAATGGAGAAGGCGCCGCCAGACTCCCTTTGGGGGAGAAACCTGTTTTTCCTTATGGAACCCCAAGAATGTAAACTGATAAGTTCGTCTCAGTTTTTTTGTTTTTGTTTTTGTTTTTTTTTTTGAGACCGAGTCTCACTCTGTCACCCAGGCTGGAGTGCAGTGGCTCACTGCAACCTCTGCCTCCCGCGTTCAAGTGATTCCCCTGCCTCAACCTCATCAGTAGCTGGGACTACCAGTGTGTGCCAGCACGCCTGGCTAATTTTTTGTATTTTAGTAGAGATGGGGTTTCACCACGTTGGTCAAGATGGTCTTGATCTCCTGACCTCGTGATCTGCCCACCTCAGGATCCCAAAATGCTGGGATTACAGGTGTGAGCCACCACGCCCGGCCAAGTTCGTCTCAGTTCTTAAGCTCCTTACTTTTATATTGTGTTACCTGTTTTTTTTGTTGGTTTTTTTTTGGTTTTTTGACTAAAATAGTTATTGCAACAGAGGTTACTCTTGGATTTTAAGAAAGTGTGTGGTTTAGACACTTAGAAATGTCTTTGCTTAAAAAAGTTTTTTTTTTAAGTCACTGTAAAAGCATCACATGGTCTAACCTCAATAATTCTTCCTTTTTGTAGACCCAGGATTCAGTGTGGGCTCTGCCCAGAGCTCAGAGATCCACTTAAAAGATAGGTAGTCCCTATCTAAATAAAATTGGTCTCCTTATACAATCCTATGATAGATTTCTGCAACTTTATGTTTGATTTGATCAAATAAATGATTAGATTTTTAATCTCCCTCTAGCATCACCAGACTTTTTCTCTCTGTACCTTATGAGGTAAATTTTGCCATTTGATTTGCACCTGAGTTGTTTCCTTTAATATGAAAATTTAAGGCTATTTAGCTGACAACTGCCTAGAGTTGTGAAACAGGTTATCAAGAATCTGAAAGTCTAAGATAGGAAAAAAAAAAGGTTTTCATAAATCTGTAAGATGTACTTCTATTGGCATGCCTAATACATCTATGTATTTATGTGTTGTGTACACAATGTTTCACAACTGAAAATATATAAAAGAGCTCTAGTTAATTGGCTTAAGAAAATAAAAGCACTTGAATCAAATAGTTTATCACACAAAAAAAGACTAGTCAAATGCTTTTTCAAGTTTACATAACTTAAATAAAATCTTTAATAAATAAGCTAGCTTGAAAATTATAGGTAATTTTAGAAATGTCTTAAGAATTGCCAGCATACATTTTTGTTTGCATTTGTTAATCAAGCAATTTCATACTTATCCCTGCCAAATACTGTAAGGTGTCAAAATTTGGCACAGGGGTTACAAAACTGTAAATCCAGCCCAAGACAGAATGATCTTTGCTTGTGTAATATTTAATAAATAAGATATTGACACAGGTTTAATAAAAATAGCAACATCTTGAATTTAGTCAGACTACCATAACTTCTAATCTTGTGGCTTTAGGCAGTCTAGTCCACAGGCATTAAGGTTGGTTTTGAGAAAGGACTGTCATCATCTTTGTTCCAAAGCTAAACTATAAACTAAGTTCCTCCCAAAGTTAGTTCAGCCTACACCCAGGAATGAACAAGGACAGCTTGGAGGTTAGAAGCAAGATGGAGTCAGTTAGGACAAATCTTTTTCACTGTCGCAGTTATAATTTTGCAAAGTTATGGTGGTTCTATAACTTTAAATAATGAAATTACAGTTTTTATACATAATCTAGGTAAATGATTAAAATAAAATAATTAGGTAAATGTAATAGGATAAATACTTGCAGAAAAACTCATCATACTTTAGAATTTAAAGTTATATTAAATTAAATAAGAGATATTTCATTATTTGGTTATTTTTCAATAAAAATATATTTGTAAGAAAACATTTTTTTTTTGAGAAGGAGTCTTGCTCTGTCATCAGGCTGGAGTGCACTGGCATGATCTTAGCACACTGCAACCTCCACTGCCTGGGTTCAAGTGATTCTCCTGCTTCAGCCTCCTGAGTAGCTGGGACTACAGGCATGCACCACCACACCCAGCTAATTTTTATAATTTTAGTAGAGACCGGCTTTCACCATGTTGGCAGGGATGGTCTTAATCTCTTGACCTAGTGATCCACCTGCCTCGTCCTCCCAAAGTACTGGGATTACAGGTGTGAGCCACTGCGCCTGGCCAGAAAACATTCTTTCTTAACAAAAGTGTTTCTTTTTAAAAAGGTGAACAATTTTTGTCTAATTCAAAGCTTATTTAAAGGTCATGTATAAAACAAGGTAAAAAGAACCAGGAAATAAAAGAGATGTAACAAAAGTTATAAATATAAAGATTTTTTTTTTTTTTGGTAAGAAAGTTTAAAGAGTAATAATTTCATATGAGAAAGAATTTTGTGTGGTAAATTTAGCCCTAGAGTAAAATGACTGGTTGTTTAAGAAAGAGACATGTTCAGGACAAACCAGAAAGCCCAAGCATGTCATGAATGTTCTGTGAAAGTCACAGTAAGAAGATGTATTTAAAAAAAACACCAGGCCCAGCACAGTGGCTCATGCCTGTAATCCCAGCACTCTAGGAAGCCAAGGTGGGCGGAGGTCAAACACCTGAGGTCAGGAGTTTGAGACCAGCCTGGCCAACATGGCAACCATCTCTACTAAAAATATACAAATTAGCCAGGCGTGGTAACACGTGCCTTAATCTCAGCTACTTGGGAGGCTGAGGCAGGAGAATCACTTGAACCCAGGAAGCAGAGGTTGCAGTGAGCTGAGATTGTGCCATTACACTCTAGCCTGGGAGACAAGAGCAAGACTCTGTCTCAAAATAAAAAGAAAAAAAGAAAACAAAAACACCAAAAACTTTCATATGATCAAGTTGTCTATGATTAAGGGGAAACTATAATGGTCTTTCTAGGGATTGGGTTTGATGTTAAAAAAAACACTTCTACATGTATAATTGGTTAGAACAATGAAGTTTTCTTAAGGGGTTGATTTATGCAATAAATTATTATTATTATTATCTTTTTTTTTTTTTTTGAGACAGAGTCTCGCTCCGTCACCCAGGCTGGAGTGCAGTGGTGTGATCTCGGCTCACTGCAAGCTCCGCCTCCTGGGTTGCCATTCTCCTGCCTCAGCCTCCTGAGTAGCTGGGACTACAGGCACCCGCCACCATAACCAGGTAATTTTTTGTATTTTTAGTAGACAGGGTTTCACTGTGTTAGCCAGGATGGTCTCAATCTCCTGACCTCATGATCCACCCGCCTTGGCCTCCCAAAGTGCTGGGATTACAGGTGTGAGTCACTGTGCCTGACCTTATGCAATAAATTATAAGAGATTTTAATTTTTAAAATTTTAACCCAAAGTTCAACTTTTATTGCATGTCACCAGTTTGGGTGTTCTCTTCACTTTTAAAAGCCACGAAATAGTAACACTCTCCTTCAACTCATTTTCGGCTCATATGAGTCTTTTTTTTTCCCCCTTGAGTTCTGTTCTGTTTGTTTTGGCCTGATGGTAACAATGTTTTCTTAAAGATCTAAAGGAAACGTTTTCTTCCAGCATTATATTCTGTGCACTGTAGAAGGTCTTTTCTTTTGTCTTTTGGTAACTGGCCTAACAGATTTTATGTTTTATTGAAATAATTCTTATGCCACTATTATTAAGTTTGGTTTGCTTAGGAAAAACAGAGATTTAAACACTTTTTTTTTAAATTAAGGTAATTAAGGTTGTTACCTCCTTGTGTCTCCTGTATGTGCTTTTAAAGTCTTTGTGACATTGAGTCACAGGGCTTTGACTCCTGGGTCTAAAAAGAACAGCAAATCCTGCTAAATCTTAAACACTGATGGCAATTAAAGCCTTGTCTTTAGGCCCAGTAGAAGATGCCAATCAAAATAAACTGCATTCTTGAGACACAGGGCCAGAAATTAAAGCTATTCAACTCTTCAAGGCCCAGGGCATATTGCAGAAGAGGTGGTCATAAGAGATTGTAAGGGCCAATTTTGAGACATAAAATAAGTTCAGTTTCTCTATAGATTAATAATTAATGTGAAAGGCACACTGATGTAAGACCAGCATATGGGCCCCTGTGTCAGATTAACAAAGTTTTCTTGGCATTAACTTACTCCTTAATAAGGATTATAAAGGGTATAAAGGTTTATGGAAGTTATATGTTATGATCAGATCAGATGAAACTTTTATAGATTGTTTATAAAATTTTGGACAACAAATTTAATTGGCTTCATGCTGTATTTATGAGGGCTTATTGTTTGAAAAATTAAGTCTCCTCTGTCAAAGAATGAAAGTTTTTGCCTTGTTTTGAAGTCCTTGAGTTATCACTTTGATTAAATGAATGACTTATTTTACAATGACCTGTGATCCTATTTTGTAATATCAAATTTTTTTTTTTTTGAGACGGAATCTTGCTCTGTTGCCCAGGCTGGAGTGCAGTGGCATGATCTCGGCTCACTGCAACCTCCACCTCCTGGGTTCAAGCGATTCTCCTGCCTCAGCCTCCCGAGTACCTGGGACTACAGGCGCATGTCACCACACCTGGCTAATTTTTTGTATTTTTAGTAGAGACAGAGTTTTACCATGTTAGCCAGGATGGTCTCAATCTCCTGACCTTGTGATCTGCCCTCCTTGGCCTCCCAAAATGCTGGGATTACAGGCATGAGCTACCGTGCCCAACCTATATAAAATGTTTTAAACCTTTGGTATTTGACAAACTTCCAAAATCAAATTATAAATTATGTCTTTTACTGACCTAATTAATCCTTTAAGATATTCTTAATAGGTTCCCTAAAGTCTAAAAAATGACATATTTGGTTTATTTGGTACAAAAATTATACAGGAAGCATTGCCAAATATAAAATGGTGTTTGGTTTTCTTTGGGCTGTATTTGTATAACTATGTTATTGGTATGTGTTCCAAAATAATGGGAAACTCCTAAAATTCTGACATGACTTAATGTATGTTATCAGTAATTGTTAAGTTAAATTATTGTGTGCCACAGAGGTAACAAATTTCCTTGTAAATTGTGACTTTGACTATGGCTGCCTTAACACTTTTTGTCATCCACAGAAAATTGTTTTGTTTTGGTCCTCTCTAGAAGGTGGTTTTATAATCAGCTATAAGACTCGAACAGGTGTTCTTGAATGCAGGTTTCTGATAACTTTGAAGATTGTAACATCAGGAGAGAAGAACAACTTTCAGGACTCATGGAAAGCTGAAATGTTCATAAATATCAAGCAGAACAGAATTGACTGCATAGATAAACTAATAGAAGTCTGCAGTAATCTTTTTAACTTTTTACTTAAAACATTGCTGAACCTTTTTTTGTTTGTTTTTCAGAGTCGAGAAAACTTTCCTTTAAGCTATTTACAGCTTTTAACAATTGAGTAAAGTATACTTCCATGAACAAAATTTGGAGCATATTTGTTTCTCTCTACCTGATTTCTACAGAATTTGGCAACTATTTGTGAGTATTCTTAACTTATGACAATACAGTTATTTGCGTAAGTGCAGTAAGAATCTGTTTTCATTTGTAATAGGACACAATTGGAGAAACTGGTTATTTTACCAAGGCTTTGTCTGGAATGGTGTGCTTTCCTTTAAGAAATCAAACTTGACTTATGGAGCCAATAAAAGCCCCTTGAAAAACAGGCCTCATTTCTTTGTCTACACAGTCCCTGTACAGGGTTCCTGACCTGTGCTAAGTAAAGAATGCCACTTTCTGACAGGCCCAGGAGCCCCAAGTTTATACTGGAACCTCAGGTGGAGAGGAATTCACCCAACTCATAAGTATTTGATGATACAAATCCATGGCTGGGCTTGGCTTTAAAAAAGTCTTATCTGGGATTCCTTCTATGGAACAACATTCCATCAAGGCCAATTTAAAAGTCTATGTAAAAAATAATCATTCTTGCTGTGCTGTATACAAATAATTAGGCCAAGTATAATAAAGCAAACCAGTCCTACCATGGTTTGTCTTTAGTAAAAATGAGAAACAGGAGAGAGAAAAATTATGTTTTAAAAACTATAATATACTTTTGTTAGATTCTAGTCTTGCCTAATGTTTTTCAATTTTTATTATTTTCTACAATTTGGACAGAATTCTAATTTTTCTTGGCTACAAGTCTTCAAAATAATGTTTTCAATTTTTTTCTTTTTTTTCCCCCAATTTTTCTAATTTGAAGTCACTGAAAACTAAGCTGTGCTTTCGTAAAGCCCTGCAAACTAAAGCTAGACAACTTAAATCTCGGAAGAAAATAACTGTAACCTATTTACATACATAAGCCACTTTCATACCTGCTTACTGCGGTATGGACTTCAGAGTAATGTGGCCTATATCGATTTTCCAGGATTGCTCTGGTTGTTGTTTTCTTCCTTCCTCCCCCTATTTTATCTTCATAGGACATGAGACTTCATAATCTTCAAAAACGAGCTTTCTTAATAACTCAAGAACTGCCTATCTAGGAATAAACCATCCTAGCCATGATAAATCAGATGAAACCAGAGACTAGAGACTCATTTTCTTCTAAAATGCTTTATCCAAAAGATTTTAAAAAAGAAAATGGGGGAAATGTGACAGGAAAATATCTTGGGCCCCCCAAATCACTAAGCTAAAGGGAAAAGTCAAAGCTGGGAACTGCTTAGGGCAAAATTGCCTCCCACTCTATTCAAAGTCACCCCTCTGCTCACTGAGATAAATGCATATCTGATTGCCTCCTTTGGAGATGCTAATCAAAAACTCAGAAGAATGTAACCATTTGTCTCTACAAATGCATAGGTAGATATGCATCTACCTATGACGTGGAAGCCCCCTCTTTGCTTTTCCAGACCAAACCAATGTTCATCTTACATATGTTGACTGACGTCTCATGTCTCCCTAAAATGTATAACACCAAACTGGTCTGACTGCCTTGGGCACATGTTGTCAGGACCTCCTGAGGCTGTGTCATGGGTGCGTGTCATCAACCTTGGCAAAATAAACTTTCTAAATTAACTGAGACCTGTCTCAGTATTTTGGGGTTCACATATCCAACTGCTTACTCTCCATCTCCAATTAAATGTCACAGAGACAACGTGCATCAAACGTGTTCAAGACTGAACCATGGTTTCTCTAAGATCTGATTCTCTTTCATGTTTTTTTGGGTTTTTTTGCTTTTTTTTTTTGAGACGGAGTTTTTCTCTTGTCGCCCAGGCTGGAGTGCAATGGCATGATCTCAGCTCACGGCAACCTCCGCCTCCCAGGTTCAAGCAATTCTCCTGCCTCAGCCTCCTGAGTAGCTGGGATTACAGGCACCTACCAGCATGCCCGGCTAATTTTTGTATTGTTAGTAGAGATGGGGTTTCACCACGTTGACCAGGCTGGTCTCGAACTCCTGACCTCAGGTGATCCACCTGCCTCGGCCTCCCAAAGTGCTGGGATTACAGGTGTGAGACACCGCACCTGGCCATTTTTTTTTTTTTTTTTTGAGATAGAGTCTTACTCTGTCACCCAGGCTGGAGTGCAGTGGCACGATCTCGGCTCACTGCAACTTCCACCTCCTGGGTTCAAGCAATTCTCCTGCCTCAGCGTCCCCAGTAGCTGGGATTACAGGTGTGTGTCACCAAGCCTGGCTAATTTTTTCATTTTTAGTAGAGATGGGGTTTCACCATGTTGGCCAGACTGGTCTCAAACCCCTGACCTCATGATCTGCCCACCTTGGCCTCCCAAAGTGTTGGGATTACAGGCGTGAGCCACTGTGCCTGGCCTCTTTCATATTTTTTATTACAGCAAATGGCTGGTTTTTAATCTATGATAAATGTGAGGGGGCCATTGACTGAAACTGGAAAGGCAGATAAGGAATAGATAGATATGTGTGGGAGATGTGCATTAATTTTAGCCATGTTGCATGAGTTTGGGACAGGAAGGTAGAAATACTCTGTGGACACTTGGGAGTGAAGGCTCTGGGGAGGTGGATTTGGGCTGGGAATGTGGATTTGGGAGTCATCTACATAGAGGTATTGAAATTAGGTATTTGAGCATTTGAGAGGGAAACAAAAAAGGTAGGAGGGAAGGGAGCCAGAGAAGCACATCGTAAATCACAACATCAGAGAGAGTTTAATAAGATGAAGGCAGTGTCGAGAATCTCAACTGATGAAGGATGAGATGAAGCCACTGGATTGATGACCTCTGAGACTGAGGCATATGTTGAGACTAGAAGCTAAACTACAGTAGTTATACAAAGGTGTGCGTTGTGTTCTAGCCCAGGGTCTCAGCTTTCTCATCTTTAAAATGAAGGGATCCCCTAGATAAACCCATCTAGAGTCTAAGAAGTTGCAGCAGACATTTTCAATGAAGGAGAGAATAAGTGAATCAAACTATACCTATTTCTTGCCAGTTCTATATGTAGGGAGGAGTGGTTGGAATTGAAGCCGTACTTCAAGATGGCTTGCTGTGAGAGGTCGACTATCAGTAATAGATTATCTAAGGGGAGAGTATTATCAAAAAATGAATTTTCAACACAACAAAGGCCTCTTTTGAATTGTCACTTTTATCCTGTAATGCTACAAAGTAACGAGATATAGGAGACCCTTGGCACTTAATTTTCTGACACTGATTTTTTTTTTTTTTTTTTTTGAGATGGAGTCTCACTCTGTTGCCCAGGCTGGCGTGCAGTGACGCAATCTCGGCTCACTGTAAGCTCCGCCTCCCGGGTTCATGCGATTCTCCTGCCTCAGCCTCTGGAGTAGCTGGCACTACAGGCGCCTGCCACCATGCCTGGCCAACTTTTTGTATTTTTAGCAGAGACGGGGTTTCACCGTGTTAGTATGGATGGTCTCGATCTCCTGACCTCGTGATCCACCTGCCTCAGCCTCCCAAAGTGCTGGGATTACAGGCATGAGCCACTGCACCCAGGCTTTTTTTTTTTTTTGAGGCAAAGTCTTGCTCTGTCACCCAGGCTGGAGTGCAGTGGCGCAATCGTGGCTCACTGCAACCTCCACCTCCTGGGTTAAAGCGATTCTCCTGCCTCAGACTCCCAAGTAGCTGGGGTTACAGGCATGTGCCACCACACCTGGCTAATTTTTGTATTTTTTTTTTAGTAGAGACGGGGTTTCACCATGTTAGCCATGCTGGTCTTGAACTCCTGACCTCAAGTGATCTGCCCACCTCGGTCTCCCAGAGTACTGGGATTACAGGCGTGAGACACCACGCCCGGCCCTGACACTGATTTTCATTTTGACTTTTTGGGAATGGATGTGACAGCAATTGTGCTAAGTACAGATTTCTTAATGCGTTTACAATATTAATTAGGTCACAGCACTGGTAACACAGGAATTCAAATGGTGCAAGAAACAAGGCACACTGGTGATGCAGCATTGTTTTTGGTAATTGCTTATACATTGCCAAAGGTTTTTCAACAAATTCAACCTACTCTTATGTTACTTAAGTAGATGGTTTAAGGCAGTGGTCCCCAAGCTTTTTGCACCAGGGACCGGTTTTGTGGAAGACAACTTTTCCACAGACAGGGTGGGGGGGTGGTGCATAATTTCGAGATGAAACTGTTCCACCTCAGATCATCAGGCCTTAGGTGCTCATAAGGACCACGCAACCTAGATCCCTCGCGTGCACAGTTCACACCAGGGTTCACACTCCTATGAGAATCTAACGCTGTGGCTGATCTGGCAGGAGGTGGAACTCAGGTGACAATTCTGGCTCGCCAGCCCTTCATCTTCTGCTTTGCCGCCCAGTTCCTAACAGGCCACGGACCAGCTACCAGTCCACAGCTCGGGGGTTGGGGATCCCTGGCTTAAGGGATACAGGGCTGGTAAAGTAATCGTTGAGCCTCAAGTCCAGATTTTCAATACATATGGTGAGGCATGCTGAAAGACTGATGTCAAGTATGAGGCAAGCTGACAGATTCTAAGAATTATGGGTGGATTTATTTCTCAATACAAAATTATCACTATATTATGGGTATATAATATATCCATTTTAGGATGTTCTCAGTTTTTTTCTTTTAGGAGTTTACTTATACATTTATTATGCTATTTATAGTTATATGTTTATAAGGTATATATGGTATTTATAAAATCACTTATGTTCTGGGATGTTTACATTAACAAAGATCTGCGAGCAGGATTTTCTCAGTAAAGAGGACTTGATTTACAAAACTGAATTCTAGAATTTTCTGACAGTAAATCCAATTGCAAATGGCTTTATCTGATATCTATCTCAAAGGAGACATCATTCATCAGGGAAGCTGATGGCATGCTGGATAAATTCTCTAATTCAACCCGAAGGAGTCAGCTGTCTTTTCTAAGTCTGACACATGAGCAAGGAGCAAATCAAAGTAGAAAAGAAATCATTTTAACATCCAGAATTCATCACAGTATTTAAACAATTAGAATTTTACTTTATTTCAGAATAAGTTTACAGTTGAAAAATGATTATTTACTAAAGCCACATTATTCATACAGACAAAACTTTTATAGCAAAACCTTGGTACATGAGCATTAATAATTTGAATACTATATGGATATAGAAGATATTTAAAAAATGGAAACAATGTATTCCAAAGGCTGTAAGAGGCACAATATATATGCTTGTACTGGGCCTGCAAGCATTATACTATAATTCATTAAATATGATCCAAGAAGTTGCAGATTTTTCAGCACTATGTACTGAAAAGATAAAAAGGAATATCATAGCTACTCTTACGCTGAAGAAGCATCTACTATCAAGACTACAAAATAGGAGCAGCAAGCCAAACCAACAGATAATGCCTTAGGTTTTAGGAGAAATAATACATGTATGGCTTTTTCATGTTCATTTTCGAGCTTGGTTAGCAAGTCTGGCAGGTGGAAAAGAGGAAATTAGTCTATAAGAAAACGTTAAAGACATAATTTACAAGGCATCTGATATTTAACATGTTCAAACTTGGAAAATAATAACTGAGCTTGATTTTAGAGCAAAGTTGCGAGGTATTACATAGCAAAAAAAATGATTTCTTCTGTTTAATGTTTTTGGCATAAGAATCTCTTATGCAGAAGAAAAGCAAGTTTTCAAATGACATGGTGGAAAAATATGTAAGATGAATAATTAGAATTGACTTTCGGTTTTCAGTAACTACAGAGAATATAGGTCTTCCAAGGACCAAGGAACTGAATTTGGTCCTTTATAAACTCTTATGTCTTTTACAAGCGTGGGTTGAAATATGTACTCATGCTGACAGTATCCACGCTGATAAAGGTGAACATGTGGTAACAATAAGAAAAAACGTGTACATTTTTCAGGGCACACTACTACTTCTACATTATATTGAAATTGCCTAAAAGGTAAAAATGTACATCTTAGATTCTCAAAGGTTTTATTTTTTAACTAGCAATGAAATATAAGTGTAAAAGTGAATCATGCAGTCTTTTTACCTATCAGTTACTGTGTTCATGATATGAGGGGAACAGAATTCTTTTTTTTTTTCCTTTAAATCCCTAATGTTCACAAGTCATCATGTGGAACTAAAATCACACACAAAGGCAAATCATGAGGAAACGTTAAATATTTCAAAATGCCCACGAGGCGTGCCAGAAACAGTGCTGTATCTATAGCACAGAATCGTTGGAGGCCAAAGCTAAAGCAGTAGGGGCTACTGCAACTTCTAGCTCTTTACTGCTGCTTTTTTGTTTGTTTGATAGAGGGGGATTCAGGTGAGGGGGTTCGGTCTCTCAGGAAGTTAGGCCATAATTTCTGCAGGTTCAGTGATTAACTTGGATCCATCCCATGCTGTCTTGAACTGTTCAGGAATGGGAAATTCTCTCTGGAAAAAGGCAAGAACAACAAAGTTATTTAAACTACAACAAAGTTATTTAAACTAAGGCTTCCTTTTGCAAACAGATGGTGAGGCTGATTTGTGCCACATGATAGGCAAAGAAATTCGATCGAATTGCAAGCTGCGTCATGGGGAGGTCTTTGTCACGTGGAGACTTGTGTATGTCATGTGTCAGTTCTGTGACTTCAAGCCAGTATCATCATTAAAGCTAAAAGCATCATTTAGAATGAACCAGGCATCCTTCTAAGCACTGGAGATAGATGAACTCAGCAGATCTCCTATAATAACCCTATGAGCTAGGAGTTCTTGGGGATGCCATCTGTAGGAAACAGAGGCCTGAGAGTAAGCAACTGGCCCCAAATGATGTGGCCAGTAACAGCGCAGCTAGAATTCAAATCTGCGCTCTATCTTACCTACTACTCTCCACTAAACTTTAACATGCACATGAATCAACTGGGATCTTATGAAAATGCAGATTCTGGCCGGGTGCAGTGGCTTAAGCCTGTAATCTCAGAACTTTGGGAGGCCAAGGCAGGGGGATCACCTGAGGTCAGGAGTTCGAGACCAGCCTGGCCAACATGGTGAAACCCTATCTCTACTAAAAAAATACAAAAAATTAGCCAGGAATGGTGGCATGCGCCTGTAGTCTCAGCTACTCGGGAGGCTGAAGCAGGAGAATCGCTTGAACCCAGGAGGCAGAGGTTGCGGTCAGCCGAGATCATGCCACTGGACTCCAGCCTGGGCAACAAAAGTGAAAACTCCATCTCCAAAAAATAAAATAAAATAAAATAATAATAATAATAATAAAATGCAGATTCTGACCCAGGATCTTATTAAAATGCAGATTCTCTCTGGCTGGGCTCTGTGGCTCATGCCTGTAATCCTAGGACTTTGGGAGGCCAAGGTGGGTGGATCACCTGAGGTTGGGAGTTCGAGACCAGCCTGACCAACATGGAGAAACCCCGTGTCTACTAAAAATACAAAATTAGCCGGGCGTGGTGGCGCATGACTGTAATCCCAGCTACTCGGGAGGCTGAGGCAGGAGAATCACTTGAACCCATGAGGCAGAGCTTGTGGTGAGCCGAGATTGCGCCATTGCACTCCAGCCTGGGCAACAAGAGCAAAACTCTGTCTCAGAAAAAAAAAATGCAGATTCTGATTCAGGATCTTATGAAAATGCAGATTCTGATTCAGTAGGTCTGGGGAATGGAATGAGAATCTGCATTTCCAACAAGCTCCCAGGTGATGCCAATGCTGCTGGTTCCAATCACATGGAGTAGAAAGGTTTTATCCCAGAGGTAGCTCTCTACTCTTTGATAAATTGTAAAAATGAGCCTAGGGTTATATACACGTTGGTTACCCTTCACCAAGGCACTCTACTTCTCCCATTGGAAAATACACGTACACACACGTACAGACAAAGAATAATAGAGAATAGTCAAAATAAAAGTAGTCTAAGTCAACACTCTGCTTTCCCAGACAGTGATTCTCCAGTCATTTCAGAAGAGGATAGAAGACCTCCTCCAAGGCAAGGAAGAAGGACAGAGACCTTCAGAAGAAGATAGAAAACCTCTCTAAGGCAAGGAGGCCTTGGACCTGTCTTCTGGGCCTCCTCGGACTTCCAGTCCATGCGGTGCTCATTGAAACCTCATGTGTCTGATAAGCTGATGCCCATGATCATGAGCTGTGGTGTTTCCATGGAACACACATGGGTACCTATCTTCCTAGATGTAGGATCCAACTGTTTCTTTGGGATGAAGCCATTCATTCATTCAAAAGGAAAGGCCTGGGCCAGGCACGGTGGCTGACACCTGTAATCCCAGCACTTTGTGAGGCTGATGCCAGCAGATCCTCTGAGCCCAGAAGTTCGGGACCAGCCTGGGCAACATAGCGAGACCCCACTGTATAAGGACAAGCCTTACACAGTGTAGTGCTGCTGAAGAGCCACTCTGATTTGGTATCTCTTTTGGCAGAGTTGCAGGGAAGGATTCCCAGGAGTGGGGATGGTAATCCCACCCTCTCCATTGTCTCTGCCTATCCTCAGGGACACTGTTTCTACAAAACATACAAAAATTAGCAGGGTGTGGTGGCACACGCCTGTAGTCCCAGCTACTTGAGAGGCTGAGGCAGGAAGATCGATTGAGCCCGGGGGGTCGAGGTTGCAGTGAGCCATGATCGCACCACTGCACTCCAGCCTGGTCAACAGAGCAAGACCCTGTCTCAGACAAACAAACAAACAAATAAATAAAATAAAAGGCAAAGCCCATGCTATAATGAGTGATGTATTCTTCTTGAGTAAAATCTGCAATGGAAAAATCTTGAAGTAAAGAACCCACAATCTGAATAACGTGTGTGTTTGTGCAGCCAATATTCCTTCTGGGGCTCTTCTGGATGGGTAGATGAGGCTTGGTGTTTGTTCTCAAGAACCAGGCCAAGTAGAGAATGTGCCAGATGAAGGCACCTCTTTGATAGTAATTGCACAACAGCTGTCCCAAATCTGTTCCTGGCTGTGAGGGGTTAGTAATATGCTAACGAGTCTTCTCTGGGAGACCAATTTCTTTCAGGACGAATCATCTCCTCCATCCATTCCCACACCATAATGCCCATGGCAGGTCCTCTGTGTTGTTCCCTACCAGCTCCAACCGAGAACATGTGAAGAGGGCCACAAGGTAATTGACCTGTAAGAGGCAAGATCTTGTTTTTTTTTTTTTTTTGAGATGGAGTCTTGCTGTGTTGCCCAGGCTGGAGTGCAGTGGCGTGATCTCAGCTCACTGCAACCTCTGCCTCCCAGGTTCAAGTGACTCTCCTTCTTCAGCCTCCTGAGTAGCTGGGACTACAGGCGTGTGCCACCACGCCCAGCTAATTTTTTGTATTTTTAGTAGAGATGGGGTTTCACTGTGTTAGCCAGGATGGTCTTGATCTCCTGAGCTCGTGATCTGCCCGCCTCGGCCTCCCAAAGTGCTGGCATTTACAGGCGTGAGCCACAGCACGCGGCCAAGACCTTGGTTTTTAGCATGAACGCTCAGGTTTTGATTTACACTCATCCTTTAGGCCGGTGGATTTCAATGTTGGCTCCCCACTGGAATCACCTGGGAAGCTTTAACAGTTACAGGTGCCTGGGTCCCACGCCCATAGATTCCAGCTTCATTAGTCTGCAGTGTTCATCCAAATCCCACTGCTTTTCTTAGCAGATCCAGTCCCATGCAGCTGAGCCTTCCTTCTGCTTAAACAGCTGCAAAGGCCAGGGCTCCCTCCAATTTTTGACTCTCCTACTCTGAAGCTGTTGGCATCAGCTCTTCAGGAATTTTTTTAGGTGGAGGGCCCAAGAGAGGACTCTTCTGTATCTCAGGGTTAGACTGTCCATACACACTTACTAGTAAAGCATGGCCTGAGGCTTGCAGAGTTTTGTTTTTTTAAACTGAAATGATGAATTCTGGCCTGTAATGTATGACACGTGGCTGAGCAGAGCTGACGAACTTACTGCCAGGTGGGGAAGGGAGAATGTGGCAGCAGTCACACCGTCTGCTCAAGGAGATCAACCTGTGTGTTGATTGCTGTGTAGGCCCTGGCAATTGACCCCTTAGGCTGAGGGAGCTCCTCTTCCAGATGTTTTGCCTGCTAAGTTATGTTTTCTCCCATCCTTCCCTGGTTCACTGGCTCCCTGCACAGGCAGACTTAGAGGGAATTTTCCCTGTTTTTGTTTGTTTGTTTGTTTGTGACTGAGTCTCACTCTGTCGCCCCGGCTGGAATGCAATGGCACAATCTCAGCTCACTGCAACCTCCGCCTCTCGGGTTCAAGTAATTCTCCTGCCTCAGCCTCCCGAGTAGCTGGGATTCACACGGCTAATTTTTGTATTTTTAGTAGAGACGGGCTTTTGCCGTGTTGGCCAGGCTGGTCTCAAACTCCTGACCTCAAGTGATCTGCCCGCCTCTGCCTCCCAAAGTGCTGGCATTACAGGGGTAAGCCACCATGCTTGGCCTTCTCTGTATTTATTTCCTCACTTTCAAGTAGCAACTAGCAGATCCATCACACTTCATGAACCAGGAAATGTACTTATTTATTCATACTCCCTTTTCAAAGTGTGAGAATACGTGTATGGTTCTTTGAGAAAGTGCTTTGTTGAGGAGAGAAAGCTGAGAAAATAAATAGTGGCCAAGTCTTTTAGGCTAGTGTTTCTCAGAAGGGCCATTGGATGGACTTAAGGGATACATGCCAGTTAAAAATCTGGATTCCTGGGCCTTACTCTAGGCCTCCTGAATCCAACCTCCAGCTGGAAGATTTGGGAACTGGCATTTTCATAAAACTTCCCGATTCTTACACTTAACCTCTCACTTAAGCATAGCTGCACAAATAGCCCTACTTACTGTCTTTTCTCTGTCCTCACATTTTTTCCCCTAAGTATTTATTTCTCCTTCTTTCCTGTTTACCTCCACCAGAGCAAAGGAAAATATTTAGTCCTACCTAATACGAACTCAGATGCATGCTGTGCTATTTGATAAACGCTGGTCCATTAAATGAATTATTAGTACACTACCTTGAGAATCGGAAATCCAGGAGTGAGTACAGTCAAGAAGCTAATAGGCGGGAAGAGATGTGGAAGACAGCTCCCTGAATTCCTCGCCTGCCTGTGAATTATGCTACAAATAAAGCTCGCAGGTTGGTAGCTGATTAATCAATCTCTAAGAATGTTAATAATGAAGGCTCCAGAAAAATTCTTGACAGCCTTTTGAAAGGTACTTACATAATCACCATCCTGAGGGATAAGTATGTTCATTTCAGATGACTTGGCGCTCACGATCTCACAGTCTAATGCATCTTCACTGAGGTATATGTGGCAACCTTCTGTCTTATTAATGGAAATTGTTGGCACTCTCCCCATTACCTGAAATAGGAAAAAATACCTGGGACCAAAGCAAAGAAACAGAAATAACAATGCCCTCGAATAAATACAATCTCAATTCCTCTTGGCTTTAGCTTGGGCTTAACCAAGCATTAGAATTCACTGGGTCAAAGCTGGGGAGGTGAGTTAATGGCAAAGTCTTCAGGCAGAATAGGATAGGTGTCACTCAGGGACAGAATGAAAAGACCACACAAGTGGATTCTCAAACCTCAGTGTCTCTTTCCTGAGACAAAATTAAGAGATTAATTTGGAAACAGCAGCTAGATGTTCAGAAAAAGCCTCACAACCCTGTTAGTAGATTCAAAACATGTATTTGATTTCATGATAAAAGAAACAAGATGCATTCATATTCATTTGCTTGAAATTTTACTTTTGACAAATCTCTATGAAACTAGGATTAAAACAAGTTCTAATGTTGTCACTTACAAGTAAAACTATTCTTGAGTAAAAACTGAGTAGATTTTTCCTGAACTTAAATAAGAAACACTACCATTCTTTTCACATAAGTCCTTTGCTAGATAAAAATCTCAGTGGCTGAATTTGAGGCTTACATGAGATGAATGTCTAGGTATTTTGAAATGTATTCATTTCAGGAGACAAAACTGGGGGCTTGGCTCAGGACACTCATTATATAGATAAGTAGGATCATACAAAAGAGGAGGCGATTCTTTGTATTGTTTATAAATATCGAAGTGCTATAAAAATTCTGATCGGTTTTAAATTTCTCTTCTAACAATCAGTTTTCAGACATACCCCCAAAATCTCCATAAGGGCGGACTGTTCCCCCAAAGACCATATTACAACTCTATAATTTTCCTTCTTGTCATGGTAATTAAAGCGATAAAGACATCTCTTCTTTCACCGTGGAGAAAAGGCTGGATTGCAAACCAAGAGCAACTTTTATTGATGGTGCGAGTGATGTAAAGAATTCCTTGTGGGGAGTCTGGCCAGGTCACTCTAGTTCTCTGTTTCCTCCTCTCTCTCCATAGAAACTGAACACTGAGTTGGAATTGAGCCCCAGTGCAAAAAAAAAAAAAAAAAAAAAAAAAAAGGCAGGGGTAGTTCAAGGTCAGGTACACATAGGGCTCTACTACAAATAATAATACAGCACATATATGTATATTTAATAATGTGTCTGCAGTAATGTTTTGGTAATTTCTAGATGTCTTTTCTAAATTTATTTATTTATTTATTTATTTTGAGATAGAGTCTTGCTCTGTCACTCAGGCTAGAGTGCAATGGCGCCATCTCAGCTCACTGCAACCTCCACCTCTGTCTCGAACTCCTGACCTCAGGTGATCCACCTGCCTTGGCCTCCCAAAGTGCTGGGATTACAGGTGTGAGCCACTGCACCCGGCTGGTTCATTTTAGCTGCTATACGAGTTAAACTACCAACTAGTATCCTATTGGGAGGATTTATTTATTAACTTACCAACTGGTGGACATTTAAATTGTTTTTATTGCCATTATGAATGATATTGCAATAAACATTTTTACATTTGTCTCCTTGGCACACGTGCTGGGGCTTCTTTAGTGTATACACTAAGAGTGAAATTACTCAGTCACAGACTATGAATGTGACTTTCTTAGATGCTGCCAATTTGCATTGCAGTGAATGTCACAGATTTACTCCCCCAACACTGATGTATCAGGGTTCTCATTGTTTCACTTCCTTAGCAATCCTATAGCATCAGACTTTAGTATATAGGCAATCCTCAAATTGTAGTTCCTGTAGGCATAAGATTCAGTTAACCTAGCACCACGCAAAGTAAGGACAGTCTGAATGCAGAATGGGTGAGTGTGAGAAGACATCACTAATTGTGGTATTAACTGGCATCTATACTTCTACTAGTTAGGTAGGTTATACATATTTTCATATATTTATCAACCACTTTCTTTTTTGTCTGAATTGCCTTAATATTCTGTGCCCATTTTTCTATCAGATTGTTAGCCTTTTTCTTTCTTTCTTTCTTTTTTTTTGAAGATGGAGTTTCGCTCTTGTTGCCCAGGCTGGAGTACAATGGCACGATTCTTGGCTCACCACAACCTCTGCCTGCTGGGTTCAAGCAATTCTCCTGCTTCAGCCTCCTGAGTATCTGGAATTATAGGCATGCGTCACCATGCCCGGCTAATTTTGTATTTTCAGTAGAGACGGGACTTCTCCATGTTGGTCAGGCTGGTCTCGAACTCCCGACTTCAGGTGATCCACCCACCTTGGCCTCCCAAAGTTCTGGGATTACAGGCGTGAGCCACCGCGCCCAGCAGCCTTTTTCTTATTGATTTAAGTTCTTTATAAATTCTAGATACAAATCCTTTTCTATTATCTGCCTTGCAAATATCTTTCTTCAGTCCATGGCTTGTCTTTCAGCTTCATATGATGTCTTCTGTTAAACATATAATTTAAATTTTAATGTAGTTAAAATGACCAGTACTTTCTTTATGGTTTGTGCTTTTTGACCCTAATTAATTTATTTCCTACTCTGAGGCATAAAATTTTTCTTCTACATGTTATTATCAAAGTTTAAAAGTATTTATTTTTCACAATTAGCATTTTACTTTTATGTATGATGTGAGGTAGAATTCAGTGTATTTTTTTCCCACATGGATAATCAATTGTCCTAAAATACAAATTTCCATCTATGCATCTATTGATTTCAGGGCTCGCTAGTCTGCTTCATTTATCTGTTTTTGTATATCACTAACAATATAGCACTTTACAATGAGTCAATATCAGGCATGCAAGTCCCTTCACCTTATTCATCTTTCACACTGTTTAGCTATTCTTGTCCATTTGTTTTCCAAATGAATTTTAAGACCATTTTTCATTTAAAACTCTGTTGAGATTTTGAGGTGAATTTCATTAAACTCACATTAAATAGCTGAGACCACTGATAATGATGTCTTCCTGTCCATTTACTTACAACATCACTCTTGCATTCTTTGTAACTATCTCCCATTTCTGTTTGCTTTTTTTGCTAGGTACCTCACAGTTTTGTTGCACCTAGCAACAAAATAGCTGTTTCAACCTTATTTTCTATTGCATTTTCTTTTCTTTTCTTTCTTTCTTTCTTTTTTTTTTTGAGACAGAATCTAGCTCTGTTGCCAGGCTGGAGTGCAGTGGCGGGATCTTGGCTCACTGCAACCTCCGCCTCCCAGGTTCAAGCGATTCTCCGGCCTCAGCCTCCTGAGTAGCTGAGACTACAGGCGCCTGCACCATGACGAGCTATTTTTTTGTATTTTTTAGTAGAAATGGGGTTTCACCGTGTTAGCCAAGATGATCTCAATCTCCTGACCTCATGATCTGCCCGCCTCAGCCTCCCTAAGTGCTGGGATTACAGGCATGAGCCACCACGCTCGGCCTCTATTGCATTTTCTAAAACTTATTTGTGGTAGAAAGAAATGCTATTGATTTTTGCATGTTCATATTATACCCTACCATCTTGCTGAATGTTTTTTTAGTTTTATAGTTTCTTGAATCTCTTGGGTTTTATATAAAGGCACTTATTTTGTTGGGAAATAAGGGCATTTTTGTCTCTTCCTTTTCCAGTTTTATCTCTCTCAATCATTATCTTACTGCATAGGTTAGAACTTTTTTTTTTTTTTTTGAGACAGAGTCTCACTCTGTTGCCCAGGCTGAAGTGCAGTGGCGCGATCTCAGCTCACTGCAAGCTCTGCCTCCCGGGTTCATGCCATTCTCCTGCCTCAGCCTCCTGAGTAGCTGGGACTATGGGCACCCGCCACCACGCCTGGTTTATTTTTTGTATTTTTAGTAGAGACAGGGTTTCACTGTGTTAGCCAGGATGGTCTCAATCTCCGGACCTCGTGATTTGCCCACCTTGGCCTCCCAAAATGCTGGGATTACAGGCGTGAGCCACCGTGCCCGGTCAGTTAGAACTTTCAATGCATTATTGAACAAGAAGCAATGACAGGAGGAATTCTCTTCTTGTTTCTGACTTTATTTTCTTTTTCTTTCTTTTTTTTTCTATGCGTCTTCATTGCTGCAGAATTTTAATGGGAATTTTGAAGTTTCAAATGAAGTGTGATTTCTGCTATAGGAGTTCCACAGACACTCAATTCAGTTATGAAATGTAGTATATCTCTTCTGACTTACCTAGGATTATCAGATATAGATATATCTATAGATCTATGTGTGCATATATATGTGTTTACATGAGTACATTTAGAAGAATGAAATCATGCTCTACATAATGGTATAAGACTGTTATTTTCTCCTAATAAAGTACAATAAATGTATTTATAGATCACTTTAAAAAATGGTTACAGTGGCTTATAGTTCTCCTTGAAGAGGTCCTTCACATCCTTTGTAAGTTGGATTCCTAGGTATTTTATTCTCTTTGAAGCAATTGTGAATGGGAGTTCACTCATGATTTGGCTCTCTGTTTGTCTGTTATTGGTGTATAAGAATGCTTGTGATTTTTGCACATTGATTTTGTATCCTGAGACTTTGCTGAAGTTGCCTATCAGCTTAAAGAGATTTTGGGCTGAGACGATGGGGTTTCCTAGATATACAATCATGTCATCTGCAAACAGGGACAATTTGACTTCCTCTTTTCCTAATTGAATACCCTTTATTTCCTTCTCCTGCCTGACTCCCCTGGCCAGAACTTCCAACACTATGTTGAATAGGAGTAGTGAGAAAGGGCATCCCTGTCTTGTGCCAGTTTTCGAAGGGAGTGCTTCCAGTTTTTGCCCATTCAATATGATATTGCCTGTGGGTTTGTCATAAACAGCTCTTATTATTTTGAGATACGTCCCATCAATACCTAATTTATTGAGAGTTTTTATATCATTCAGGACATAGGCATGGGCGAGGACTTCATGTCTAAAACACCAAAAGCAATGGCAACAAAAGCCAAAATTGACAAATGGGATCTAATTAAACTAAAGAGCTTCTGCACAGCAAAAGAAACTACCATCAGAGCGAACAGGCAACCTACAGAACGGGAGAAAATTTTTGCAATCTACTCATCTGACAAAGGGCTAATATCCAGAATCTACAAAGAACTCAAACAAATTTACAAGAAAAAAACAAACAACCCCATCAAAAAGTGGGCAAAGGATATGAACAGACACTTCTCAAATGAGGACATTTATGCAGCCAACAGACACATGAAAAAATGCATCATCATCACTGGCCATCAGAGAAATGCAAATCAAAACCACAGTGAGATACAATCTCATACCAGTTAGCATGGCGGTCATTAAAAAGTCAGGAAACAACAGGTGCTGGAGAGGATGTGGAGAAATAGGAACACTTTTACACTGTTGGTGGGACTGTAAACTAGTTCAACCATTGTGGAAGACAGCGTGGTGATTCCTCAAGGATCTATAACTAGAAATACCATTTGACCCTGCCATCCCATTACTGGGTATATACCCAAAGGATTATAAATCATGCTGCTATAAAGACACATGCACACATATGTTTATTGCGGCACTATTCGCAATAGCAAAGACTTGGAACCAACCCAAATGTCCAACAATGATAGACTGGATTAAGAAAATGTGGCACATACACACCATGGAATACTATACAGCCATAAAAAAGGATGAGTTCATGTCCTTTGTAGGGACATGGATGAAGCTGGAAACCATCATTCTCAGCAAACTATCGCAAGGACAAAAAACCAAACACCGCATGTTCTCACTCATAGGTATTGAACAATGAGAACATTTGGACACAGGAAGGGGAACATCACACTCTGGGGACTGTTGTGAGGTTGGGGGAGGGGGAGGGATAGCATTAGGAGATATACCTAATGTAAATGACTAGTTAATGGGTGCAGCA
The DNA here is from genome assembly GCF_000001405.40 of Homo sapiens. NCBI lineage: Eukaryota > Metazoa > Chordata > Mammalia > Primates > Hominidae > Homo > Homo sapiens. The sequence goes on along the minus strand of NC_000006.12, from coordinate 17,545,636 downwards.
CACCAACATGGCACATGTATACATATGTAACAAACCTGCACATTGTGCACATGTACCCTAGAACTTAAAGTATAATACAAAAAAAATGGTTACACAGTATTCCACTGAATGGAATTCAGAAGTTTTAAATTTTTAGGTAGACATATCTGCCTATCTGTTTGAAAATTTCCTCTGTTTCTTCTTGGTTTAAGATTTTTTTCTCCCTCCAAAAACATGATGAATATTTAGAACTTCCCATTTTCACATTTTATACTTAATTTACTTGGTTGTGTATTTCAGATGTGATGTATTTACATTAAAAAAAATGCTAACTGCTTATATATGGTTTCACCATTGCTACCTAAGCTTAATTTCTGTACGAATGAAAGGGAGCTTGAAATAAACTCTCTAAAATTAAGGTGTGTTTGTGGTATGTGTGTTAGGTTGCATTCTTTCCAAGATACTTTTCAACTGTGACACACTATGATTGCATGACTATGGCTAAACATGTACCCTCACCTCTGCCATCAAATATTACTTCACTGCTGTTACTTCTAGTTTTTTAAAATTAAAAATAATGTAAAGTGGGAAAAAGCATGTTTCTTTACATAGGAACTCCCACCATCCAAAATAGCTCTTCAGAAAGTGTGGTCTCATTAGGTTTCTATGAACCATGATCATCCTTGAAGTACCGGGCTTTTTCTGAAGATGAGCAACCTCCTTAAAATTTGCATGCGTAATAGTTTGGAGAGAAAGCAGTGTTATTAAATGGATAAATGTAGTGATCAGAAATACTAAACTGGGGCTGGGTGCTGTGGCTCATGACTGTAATCCCAGCACTTTGGGAGGCCGAGGCAGGTGGACCACTTGAGGTCAGGAGTTTGAGACCAGCCTGCCCAATATGGCGAAACCCTGTCTCTATTAAATATTCAAAAAATTAGCTGGGCCATGGTGGTGGTCACCTGTAATCCCAGCTACTCAGGGGGCTGAGGCATATGAGAATCACTTGAACCTGGGAGGTGCAGGTTGTAGTGTGCCGAGATTGCGCCTGGCCTGGGCCACTGCACTCCAGCCTGGGCCACAGAGCGAGACTCTGTCTCAAAAAAAAAAAAAGATAGAAGTTATAATTGGCCAAAACCAAGAAGTCCTTTAGATTTTGGCATATCATAAAATTCCATGTGGCTAAATCAAAATTATTATATATTTTAATTCACAGATTTTCTTCTGTTTTGCAAATTCAACTCCAACCCTACTTCTCAAGTTGTTTTTCTGATGATCTCACTGATTCTTTAGAAAAACTTTTCCTCTTCATGATCTAGGACCAATTTTTCCTGAGAAAAAAGTTCTCTTTGGAATGGGGCTAATCATACTAGGAGAGTCTCACAGTACTTTTATTTATGCATTAGTTGATTCACTCAAATCATATACCCATCAAACATTTACTGGACGCCTACTATGTGCAGGTACTGTGCAAGTTTCTGGGGCTATAAAGATTACATAGCTGTCCTTTTTTTCTTTTCTTTTTTTTTTTTTGAGACAGAGTCTCTCTCTGTTGCCCAGGCTGGAGTGCAGTGGCACAATCTCAGTTCACTGCAACCTCTGCCTCCCAGGTTCAAGTGATTCTCCTGTCTCAGCCTCCCAAGTAGCTGGGATTACAGGCACCCACCACCCCACCCGGCTAATTTTTGTGTTTTCAATATAGACAGGGTTTCACCATGTTAGCTAGGCTGGTCTCAAACTCCTGACCTCAGGTGATCCACCCGCCTTGGCCTCCCAAAGTGTTGGGATTACAGGCGTGAGCCACCATGCCTGGCCAGTTAGCTGTACTTGAAATTGAGATGGTATGCCAGTAATGGAAACACAAAATGGGATCTGTTAGAAGAGATTGAAAAGAAAGAACTAACACTGAGAAGTAAGAGAGGGGTCTACCAAGGAGGTGATGATAGAGCTGTGTCCAGAGGGAACAAGAATAGGAGTATTTTAGGTGGCCATGGGGGAGCAAGGCTCCTTCTTTTTTTTTTTTTTTTTTTTTTGAGATGGAGTCTTGCTCTGTCGCCCAGGCTGGAGTGCAGTGGCGCGATCTTGGCTCGCTCACTGCAAGCTCCACCTCCTGGGTTCACGCCATTCTCCCGCCTCAGCCTCCAGAGTAGCTGGGACTACAGGCGCCTGCCACCATGCCCAGCTAATTTTGTTTTCGTATTTTTAGTAGAGACAGGGTTTCACTGTGTTAGCCAGGATGGTCTCAATCTCCTGACCTCGTGATCCGCCCACCTCGGCCTCCCAAAGTGCTAGGGTTACGGGCGTGAGCCACCGCGACTGGCTGCAAGGCTGCTTCTTGGAGGCAGAGTGGATGGTCTGTGCAAGGCCGCAGCTTACAGTGTGGTTGGAAAGGCTGCTTATTACAGCGTGGTTGGAAAGGCTGCTTACTACAGCGTGGTTGGAAAGGCTCTGCTTATTACAGCGTGGTTGGAAAGGCTCTGCTTATTACAGCATGGTTGGAAAGGCTCTGCTTACCTGGATTTGAATGTCCTGGGAGTTGATCACTTCCACAATGCCCACCACATTGTCAAACACCAGGCCGAGTTTTTTACAGTTGTCTGTGGGGAGAAAAAACACAACAAAAAACCAACTCCACTAAATACATACAGCTTGTTTATAAAACATCATAATAACCATAGAGCCATAATTCTGCCCTACCAATTATAATGGAGTTTACTTTCCCTTTTATCTGAATAGTTGATTTTTCGCATTTGAAAATGTAAGCCACTTGTTTCAGCTCAGTCTCTGAAATCACAAGGTCATTCCTGTCCTCTTGGTACTCCTAGAATTAAGACAAATACAAATATTAAACATCAGCATATATAAACAGAAACCACTGCACACTGAAATTAGTACGAGCTCAGCATGAAGTATGGCTTTGCAATATATTCTTTTGGAACCATCTCCTTATAGATGAAACCACAGGTCTTACTCTGTCATTGTTAGGATGGGAAAAACGGAACCACTTCTTGGAAGCAAGTCAGTATCTCTTTGTAAACATCAGGTATCAGGCACCCTAGCAGGTGGGAGGCTGGAGCAGGGATGTGAGAGCTTTTTGTTGAGGCCTTGATGCCAAGTCTGGACTTGATGATGCAGCAAAACCTGCTGTGTCAAACAGGAGTTGGGCAAACAGGCTGGTGAAGGGTCACAGCAGTGGTCTAAGCCCTTGTGTTTTCAAGGCGATGACAACTCTCCAGGGACTTTGGTCCTTCATCTTTAGGGAAGCCCTCCAGATCAGCAGGAGACACCAGCTTTCATTACCATTTGAAGTGTCTATGTCCTGCTCACACACTTAGCCCGGGCAGTGGGGGGTGGCAGCAGTAGGGTACAGAGGTATCAATCCCTCCATCCATGGGACTGAACGAAACATCTCACAGCACATCAGAGTGGGGCACAGACTTCCCAGTTCCATATATTAACGGTCTGTCTTGCTGCCTGATTAAAAGCTTATAGAAAGAATAGCTAAATTCATAGAGACAGAAAGTAGAATGGTAATTGCCAGGGGCTGGGAGGGGTGCAGGGGGAGAAACAGGGAGCTATTGGTTAAGGGTACAGATTTTTGGTTCTGCAAGATGAAAAGAGTTCTGTAGTGGGTGGTGGTGATGGCAGCACAACCATATGAACAGACTTAATGCCACTGAGCTGGACAGTTAAACATGGTGAACAGTCCATTTTATGCTACGTCTATTTTACCACCACTCACAAAATAATTTAAAAAGTTGAAGAAAAGAATGCATGAGAACCTGTGAAAATAAAGTTTATGGAAGCATTCAGAAACACCCTGGTTTCTACTCTAGCCAGTGGTTTTTGCCTCTGTCACTTCACCTTGGTGGTTAATGGGTACGAACATATAGTCAGAAGGAATAAATTCTAATTCGACAGCAGAGTAGGGTAAATATAGTTAACAACACTGTCTTAAATATTTCAAAATAGCTAGAAAAGAGGCCTTGAAATGCTTCCATCACATAGAAATGATAAATACTCAAGGTAATGGACACCCTAAATATCCTGACTTGATCATTACCCATTCTTTTTTTTTGAGACAGAGTCTCACTCTGTCACCCAGGCTGGAGTGCAGTGGCGTGATCTCGGCTCGCTGCAACCTCCACCTCTCGGGTTCAAGTGATTCTCCTGTCTCAGCCTCTCAAGTAGCTGGGATTACAGGCACGTGCCACCATGCCCGGCTAATTTTTGTATTTTTAGTAGAGATAGGGTTTCACCATGTTGGCCAGGCTGGTCTCGAACTCCTGACCTCAGGTGATCCTCCCACCTCAAACCCCCAAAGTGCCGATCATTACACATTCTACGCATGTAACAAAATATCACAGGTACCCCATAAATATATACAAATGTTATGTACCAATACAAAAATTAAAAAAAAGAAATCCTTCAGATCTTGGTAAATGGTTTGGCTGTTGGTCCTTTCATTGGCGCATGTCAGGAAAATAAAGGTTAAAATGCTTCACTTACCACTCTCCATTTCTTTCCTTCCAACTCCAACACTGGGGCATGTTTTTGAGAAGGATAAGATTTAGGAGATGTGGGACTTGGAGTGTGACTTTTGGTGGGAGATTGAGTTTGCCCTCCTTGAGCCCGCAGGCTGGGATTTTTGTATGTCTTCTGGTCATCTGTGACATGGCGGAGCCCTAGGAGGACAACACACATGGACACATTTATTTTATGCAAAGGGAAATGTCTCTAACTTGCTAGATCAACATGATGTAAATAAAGAGCACAAGAACTTTTGGTAAGGCCACTTTCAAAACAGTCTAGTGCTTTCTCCAAGTCAGGATGCAGGAGCTGAGTCCTGTACAAGTTGAGAGTTGACAGAAGCACTGTAAGTTGTTGTTGTTGTTGTTGTTTTTTAAATGGAGTCTCGCTCTGTCACCTAGGCTGGAGTGCAGTGGCGTGATCTCGGCTCACTGCAACCTCTGCCTCCTGGGTTCAAGCGATTCTCCTGCCTCAGCCTCCCAAGTAGCTGGGATTACAGGCATGCACCACCACACGCTTAGCTAATTTTTGTATTTTTAGTAGAGATGGGGTTTCACCATGTTGGCCACGCTGGTCTTTGAACTCCTGACCTCAGGTGATCCACCCTCCTTGGCCTCCCAAAGTGCTGGGATTACAGGCGTGAGCCACTGCACCAGCCAAGTATTTTTTTTTTTTTTTTTAATTTGAGGAACCTCTTCTGTTGGGAGATAAAATGATAGATAAAAATTCTGCAAAGAGCAAACCACCTCACGAAAAAGGATCATGTCTTACTTCTTCTCTTACGGCTAAATCATTCTCCAGACACAGCCTAAAAGGTTAGGGCATTCCAGTGAGTATATATCAGGATATGGAATTGACTTTACGAATCCATTCCTTTACTTTGCAAATGAGTTTCACAAGGCACAGCAGAACCAGTTGGAGCCAGAGAAAAATTTAGAATTTTGGATTCTTAGCTCCAAGCCCAGTATAGTGGGATATAATTCTTTGACAAGCCTGTACACTGCTTCAGGACAGAGGAGCTAATGTTTGCCACTTTTATTTATTTAGAGACAAGGTCTCACTCTGTCACCCAGGCTGGAGTGCAGTGGTGCGATCTCAGCTCACCGCAGCCCCCACCTCCTGGGCTCAAGCGATCCTCCCACCTCAGATTCCTTAGTAGCTAGAACTGCAGGTGTGTGCCACAATGCCCAGCTAATTTCTGTTTATTTTTGGTAAAGATGGGGTCTCACTATGTTGCCCAGGCTGGTCTTGAACTCCTGGGCTCAAGCAATAGGCCTGCCTTGGCCTCCCAAAGTGCTGTGATTACAGGTGTGAGCCACCATGCCCAGCCTGCCATTTTTATTTTTATTTCACTTGATCTTGATGCCTTGGTTGTGGACAATGATGTGGAAGTACTGGGGTCTAAAGCAAGGATGCAGCACAGTGGTCCATTTAGAACCCAGAGTCTCTGAATACTTCTTTCTGGTCTACACAGTGACCCCCTGAGCCCGTCTGCATGGACATAAGGAACATGGCAGGCTCCTGTCTTCCCAGCACCAGTTCCCCCTCTCCCTGCATGCTGGAGGCAGGGATGGAGTGATGTATCCATCACTGGGGCTCCAGCGGCTCTTTTGTGTCTGGGAGCCAGAGGGAAAGGGAGGCAGCTTCAAGGTCTTCTTTTCTCTCTCACCTTTTGTAATTGCTTCTCCCTGGTTAAGTTGGGCAAATAAAGCTGAGCGTGAAGGAGAAGATTCCTCTTTTTTGCCTTCATTCTCGAAAAGTGGAGGTGGCCCTGGAGGAGGCAGAGGAGGAGGGGGTGGAGGAAGGCCAGGCCCAGAGGAGAGGACAGAAAACGCTGATACTGTGGATGCTACAGGACCCTGAGAAGACAGAAGACAGGGCATTGCATTGCATTGAGACTGCGCCCTTGCTGGGATTTTGCCCGAGAGAGTCGAAACCTGCTGCCAATGAGAGAGTGGGGTTGAAGCCTGAGCAAAGGCTCCCAGAGGGCACACCTGTGCATCATGGGTCTGTTTGGGAGGATCTGAACCATGGCAGCTCCAGCTTGGGAAAGTGGAACATGACTTAGCTGTGTGGCCCCATCAGTAGGATCTGTGCGGCAATGAGCCCTGCTGCCAAATCAGAGGCAAACGAGCCATACTCCCAAGTCCAGGTCCAAGGCTCAGGATCTAAATGACACTGGGCCTTGGCCAATTTAGAATCACAAGAAAAAAGTGATCCAATTGATAAAACGATTAGCTCTTTTGAGACACTGGAAACTGTGACCACCAATGGGGTGTGGGGAAGGGTAAAAATATTCAGTGGTGATTGGATGTTTCCGAACCTTTTTAAGCAGTGAAAGAGAGAGATACAGAAACTCTCTGGACCTGATTTTCCAAATATGCCTGCTGCAAACTGACCCCCAAACAAGGAGCATATGTGACCGGGATGCTTGTCAAACCCGAAGGTAATGAGGGTCCAGGATCCACATGACTTTTCATCAAATGTTGGCTGTTAGTGAACCAACTGAAAATTAGATTCTTCCTGATCCAAGAGCTATGGTTATTCTTATTTTCACTGCTATGTAAAGCACAACCTTTGTTTTCAGTATGAAAGCCTAACAAATTCAAATGGCAATAAGACGTGATAGACAAGAGAGAGACTTGCTTTAGTTCAGTTTTGCTTTTTTTTAAGGAGACAGGGTCTCACTCTACTGCCCAGGCTGTGTGCAGTGGCGTGAACATAGCTCACTGCAGCCCCAAACTCCTGGGCGCAAGCGATTCTCCTGGCTTAGCCTCCTGAATAGCTGGGACAACAGGCATGTGCCACTCTAACTGGCTAATTTTTAATTTTTTTTTTTTTTGAGAGATGAGGTCTCACTATGTTGCCCAGGCTGGTCTTGAACTCCTGGCTTTAAGTAATCCTCCTGCCCTGGCCTCCCAAAGTACCAGTTTTAATATTTTGGAAAATATCCAAAATATTGTATATCTGTGATATTTTCACAGAACTTAAAACTGGTAGGATAGAAACACACATATACCACAAACTTGGCCTATATACTGTTTTACTTTTATTTAATTTTGAGATGGAGTCTTGTTCTGTTGCCCAGGCTGGAGTGCAGTGGCATGATCTCGGCTCCCTACAACATCAGTCTCCCAGGTTCAAGCAATTCTCCTGCCTCAGCCTGTTGAGTAGCTGGGATTAAAAACATGCACCACCAAGCCCAGCTAATTTTTATATCTTTAGTAGACACAGGGTTTTGCCATGTTGGTCAGGCTGGTCTCGAACTCCTGACCTCAAGATTATCCACCCGCCTCAGCCTCCCAAAGTGCTGGGATTACAGGTGTAAGCCACTGTGCCCGGCCCTGTTTTACTTTTGAACCCTCAAGTAGAACTGTATACCTATAATAGGGAACTATAAACAAATTAAATAGTCACGAAGCTTAAAAAATTGCGAGTAATGGAAATGTGGCTTGGACTCATCAATTTTCAATATCAAATATGAAAGGTAAAACATTACGTAAGTGCCAAATATTAATGAAAACAGAATATCCTTATTGTCATAAACAATTTAGTATTATGCAGTATCAAAATCAGCGATTCTTAATCTGTAGTAGTTTTCAGTTAAAAACAAAACAAAACAAAACATGCTGGCTCGGGCATGGTGGCTCATGCCTGTAATCCTAGCACTTTGGGAAGCCGAGAAGGGTAGATCGCTTGGATCACTTGAGCCAGGAGTTTGAAACCAGCCTGGGCAACAAAGTGAGACCCTGTCTCTACAAAAAATACAAAAAATTAGCTGAGCATGGTGATGCATGCCTGTAGTCCCAGCTACTGCGGAGGCTGAGGTGGGAGGATCACCTAAGCCTGGGAGGCAGAGGTTGCAGTGAGTTGAGATCACGCCACTGTACCCCAGCCTGGAAAACAGAGAGTGAGACCCTGTCTCAAAGCAAAACAAAACAAAACAACACAACACGCTATTTTCAAAGCACTTATATAATTCCTATTAAGTGTAGAATTACCCTGAAAATAAAATATAATTGTCTTATTCAGAATGCATGTTTTAGAAACCCTGCAGGCTGGAGGGCTCATCTCCTGAAGATTTAATTTGCAATAGTCTTTGTTTCTAAGAAAGAGCAGCCTAATTCCATCAGGTTTCTTAGGTCAAGTAGAAAATGATTTCACAGTTCCTGAGACTGACCATTTTTCTCACCAGTATTTGAAATGTTTTCTATGTTACTGGGATAAAATTTGAGAATTTGCTCTGAATCAGAAAGAGAGTATAATATAAGCTTTGGACATCAAACAGTATTCTAGTCCTCAGACACTGAGAACCACGAAGTATTACTTTTACTCATAAGCACATCATAACTCATACAGCCGGTGAAGGGACAGCCCCTTCCCCCAACATCTGAAACACTGCAGCTTTATAGTCCTATTTTGTGTAAAGGGAAGATGATGCTGGCTTCTAAATCTTAAAATGATTTAGATGGTTCCCTAGCTCTCAGAATTCAGAGACTCTCTCTCCAAGAGCCATTAAAGGACACTGAAACTAAAAAGCCACATATTCAACTTTTTGGAACTTTGATACATTCAGATGGCTGGCCCAGGAACGCGAGACAAAGCATTTAATGCTACAAAGTTGAAAATAAAAGCCAAAAAATAAGGGAACTCAGGACCAGTTGAAACTCCATCTTGGTCTAATCCTTTGTATGTCCTGGCTTATTCCCATATCGGCCCCAGCAAGAGCACAATACCGGGCTCTTGTTTCCAAGGTTACTTTTCAATTAGCATTCAGGTGCTTTACCGTACAGTGGACTCGAAATCAAACTGATTAGATGTTCCCTTCACTGGATCTCCGTGAGCTGCCCCTTGCAAAGTCACTTATCTTTGCCTCCGTCTCTTCTCATTCTGTGGGAGATTACAGCACATGACAGGAGAACTTTCTATATTCTCTTATGTCTGGCCACAAGTGGAATCACAGCCTGACACTGTCTTCAGATGTCCCAAGAAAAAACAGAGAGAAGGCTGGGCGCGGAGGCTCACACCTGTATGTAGTCCCAGCACTTTGGGTGGCTGGGCTGGGTGGATCACCTGAGGTCAGGAGTTCAAGACCAGCCTGGCCAACATGGTGAAACACTGTCTCTACTAAAAATACAAAAATTAGCTGGGTGTGGTGGCTCACGCCTGTAATCCCAGCACTTTGGGAGGCCAAAAATTCCAAAGACGACTAGGCTGTGTCACAGAAATACTCTTGTGGGTGGAGGAGGTAGCAACATAGGCATCTGTATTTTTGGACCTTCCCTAGGTGATTCCAATCTGTAGACAAATTTGGGAATAAACATTCTTTCCTATGTGTTGAAATTAATCTTAATTATGACAACCATATTACTGGGACTGTACTGAAATATCTCTTTAACAAAAATACGGCAGGAAATCAGAAAGGCTGTTTAAATTCAATATTAAATGGCCAGTCAATGGTAAAGACATTATTGAATCACATATCTCCTTGATTCTAAAGCCTTCTTCAGGGAAATCTTTTATGCTATATTTGGACTTAAAAAAAAAAAGTCATGGCCAGTCACGGTGGCTCACGCCTATAATCCCAGCACTTTGGGAGGCCGAGGCAGAAGATCACCTGAGGTCAGGAGTTCAAGACCAGCCTGACCAACATGGCGAAACCCCGTCTCTACCAAAAATACAAAAATTAGCCTGGCGTGGTGGTGGGCACCTGTAATCCCAGCTACTCAGGAGGCTGAGGCAGGAGAATCGCTTGAACCTGGGAGGCAGAGGTTGCAGTGAGCCGAGATTGCGCCACTGCACTCCAGCCTGGGTGACAAGAGTGAGATTCCATCTCAAAAAAAAAAAAAAAAAGTCATTAGCCAAATTAAAGGAAGGTCTGGGCTACCTTGACTCATATGTAGCGCAGCCTGTGGGCCTCCGGCTAGAATAAATACGACAGAAGTATTGGGAAGTGGTGCAATATCTGGCTCAGTTTTTATCTCCACAACCCCTTGTTCCATCCCCCAGTGACTTTTAGCAGTTGACTGAGCTCCTACAGCACCTCTGGAACCAGTCTTGATCCTATGGGAATATAAGATGTCTTGTGCTTTGACAATTAAGTCACCCTGGATGCTGGTTTTGTTGTGACTCTGTGCCCTGCTTCTAGAAACTGGCCTCTTGCCTGGTTCATTTTTCCTGCGTACTCACTGGTTGCAGTAGGGGGGTACATGTACCCAGATCTTGACTCTCCGTCTAGGGCTCAAGTTGTTCTGAGATAGGGTTGTGACCTGTCTTCTGGAGACTAGAGATTGAAAAACACGACCCCTCAGGGTGATTTCATTTTAAAGTTAGACTCTCATGGCAGAGGTAATGTACCAGGTTGTCTAGACTGGATGAGAAGGAAAGGATCAGATCAGAGCCTGCAGCCTTGGGTGCCCATCGAGTGATCCACTACTTCTCAATCCCAGTGGGCAACTGTGGGAGAACAGGCTCTGTGGGACAGCAGAGCCCACAGGAGAGGGGGCACGGGCGGAGGGCAGATTTTGTATCCTTTACAATCTGAGTTAGATCAGTCTAGAGATACAAAAGGATCGCTCCCAGATGGGCAAACCTTGTGTAGGCGGTGCCAAGAACGAGGGCTAGGAAGAGCCTCTGAACTAACAGTACCTGCCCAGGAACCTGACTGAGATGGGTAAGACATGACAGGGTTCTCTTCCCTACCATTTACCAGTGACAGTCTTGAGAAACTGCAGCCATAGCCTGCAGACTGCATTCGTGCCTCTGCAGAATGAACACAAGCTATATGGTTGGATCTGCACATGGAGAATTCAACAAAGACACCAAATAAGAGATGTTTACTTGTAAATTATCAGAATATTTCTGGTCCTTCTCAAAAGAAGGCTTTTCTTAATAACAAATTCTTTTATAGTATGTTTTATCCTAACAGTTAGTTTCATTTTATTTCTACAATGTAGAATCATACATCTAAAAGCTTCCAGGACCTACAGGATTCTGATGTCATGTAACTTGCACAAAGCCACATGGACAGGAAAGTGAAGTTGAGAACTGAATGGAGGTATCCTGGCCTAGGAGCCTGAAGGGAGACAGACTTAACCTTAGTTAAGGAGCAGTGATCCATACACAAATGCTTTTTTAAAAAACAACTTTGTTACGTTGATGAAATGAGTCACTTAAGTATCTTAGCGCCTCAGACTGGGAATAATGAAAAAGTACGTTCTATTGGAGTCATTGTAACAATGGTTTACAACTTAAAAAAATGAGGCTGGGCGCAGTGGCTCACGCCTGTAATCACAGTACTTTGGGAGGCCGAGGTGGGTGGATCACGAGGTCAGGAGATCAAGACCATCCTGGCCAACAGGGTGAAATCCCATCTCTACTAAAAATACAAAAATTAGCTCGGCATGGTGCACACGCCTGTTGTCCCAGCTACTTAGAAGGCTGAGGCAGGAGAATCGCTTGAACCCAGGAGGCAGAGGTTGCAGTGAGCCGAGATCACGCCACTGTACTTCAGCCTGGTGACAGAGGGAGACTCCATTTCAAAAAAAAAAAAAAAGAAAGAAAAGCTGCACATCTATGATTTTAAATGCCCATATTCAGAGTACAAAAGTTCACTTCTGTTGCAAGAACACAGCACAACGCCGAAAAATGCTGCATTTAAGGTCTATTAAGATTAATTTTGAGAGCAGATATTCAATTATATACTTTTTTTAAATTGGCACAAAGACTTTTTAAAAAGCTACTGTACTGCAAATCCCTTACTCTAAGTTAATTTCAGCTGTCCTGGGAACAGCTGCCTCCTCTATTTTTAAATATATGAACTGTAGCTATAAAATAATGAAACCAATATGCAGTGTGTGGAAGGTTTGTGATTTTTTTGGATACATATACTATATATAAGTATACTCTATTTAATATAGTTCTATACTAATGTACATCAAAATTTGTTTTCATTAAATGTTACTTCTTGAAATACTAATCGCTTTATTACTTTAGATTTTATTATGAAAGGGAAAACACTTCCAAGTTCTTTTTTTTTTTTTTTTTTTTGGTGGGGGGTGTTGAGATGGAGTTTTGCTCTTGTTGCCCAGGCTGGAGTGCGATGGTGTGATCTCGGCTCACCGCAACCTTCACCTCCCGGGTTCAAGTGATTCTCCCGCCTCAGCCTCCCGAGTAGCTGGGATTACAGGAGTGCACCACCACGCCCAGCTAATTTTTTGTATTTTTAGTAGAGACAGGGTTTCTCCATGTTGGTCAGGCTAGTCTTGAACTCCCGACCTCAGGTGTTATGCCTGCCTCAGCCTCCCAAAGTGCTGGGATTACAGGCGTGAGCCACCACGCCTGGCCAACACTTCCAGTTTTTTTTGTGTGTGTGTGTTTTTTTTTTTAGTATCGCTCAGTCGCCCAGGCTGGAGTGCAGTGGCGTGATCTCAGCTCACTGCAACCTCTACCTCCTGGGTTCAAGTGATTTCTCCTGCCTCAGCCTCCCAGTAGCTGGGATTACAGGTGCCTGCCACCACGCCTGGCTAATTTTTTTGAATTTTTAGTAGAGAAGGGGTTTCACTATGTTGGCCAGACTGGTCTCAAACCCCTGGCCTCAAATGATTCACCCACCTCGGCCTCCCAAAGTGTTGGGATTACAGGCGTGAGCCACTGCACCCTACCTAAACTCTAAGATTTTCAAACCCAGCTGGGCGCGGTGGCTCACGCCTGTAATCCCAGCACTTTGGGAGGCCGAGGCTGGCGGATCACCTGAGGTCAGGAGTTCGAGACCAGCCTGGCCAACATGGTGAAACCCTGTCTCTACTAAAAATACAAAAATTAGCCAGGCATGGTGGCACACACCTGTAATCCCAGCTACTCAGGAGGCTGAGGCAGGAGAATCACTTGAACTCGGGAGGCGGAGGTTGCAGTGATCCCAGATCGTGCCACTGCACTCCTGCCTGGGGGATAGAGTGAGACTCTGCCTCCAAAAAAAAAAAAAAAAAAAAAAAGATTTTCAAACCCAACAATAGAGGTAGTAGAGAATTTGGTTTGAGTAGAATCTAACTCTTAATAGTTGGATTAAAAGTGAATTGAATAACTAAGGCTGCTTTGTCAGTCTACTAAACAAACATTTACCAAGGGCTACCTTGCTGGGAATGGGGTACTTGATGAGGAAACAGGCATACGTTCTGTTTTTTAAGAAGCTCATAATCTAGTGGAGGTGACAAATGCACAAAGAAGTAATTGTAGATGAAGTGTGATATGAACCACACATCACATGCATGAGGGATGCTGGGGTGCAAAGGTGGAAGTGACCAGCTCTCCTCAGGACGGTCTGGGTGATTTGCAGGTATCTTTATCCTAAAAGGAGAAGCTGAAGGGCTTTAAGCATGGGGGGAATGTATATAGACGACATTGATCTCCAACTTTAAGTACAGGTCAGACAACCTATTAGTGTTCTTACCCATTTTTAACAAGCAGAGACCACTCTTTTTCTGGCTGGAACCATGGAAGGTGTAGAAGAGAAGAAGAAGGTTCCTGCTGTGCCAGAAATGCTTAAGAAAAAGCGAAGGAATTTCGCAGAGCTGAAGATCAAGCACCTGAGAAAGAAGTTTGTCCAAAAGATGCTTTGAAAGGCAAGGAAGAAGCTTATCTATGAAAAAGCGAAGCACTATCACAAGGAATATAGGCAGATGTACAGAACTGAAATTCAAATGGCGAGGATGGCAAGAAAAGCTGGCAACTTCTATGTACCTGCAGAACCCAAATTGGCGTTTGTCATCAGGATCAGAGGTATCAATGGTGTGAGCCCAAAGGTCTGAAAGGTGTTGCAGCTTCTTCCCTTCGTCAAATCTTCAACAGAACCTTTGTGAAGCTCAACAAGGCTTCAGTTAACATGCTGAGGATTGTAGAGCCATACACTGCATGGGGGTACCCAATTCTGAAGTCAGTAAATGAACTAATCCATAAGTGTGGTTATGGCAAAATCAGTAAGAAGCGAATTGCTTTGACAGATGAGGCTTTGATGGCTCAATCTCTCGGTAAATATGGCATCATCTGCAGGGAGGATCTGATTCATGAGATCTATACCATTGGAAAACACTTCAAAGAAGCAAATAACTTCCTGTGGCCCTTCAAATTATCTTCTCCACGAGGCAGAATGAAGAAAAAGACCACCCATTTTGTAGAAGGTGGAGATGCTGGCAACAGGGAGGACCAGATCAACAGGCTTATTAGAAGAATGAACTAAGGTGTCTACCATGATTATTTTTCTAAGCTGGTCAGTTAATAAACAGTACCTGCTCTCAAACTGAAAAAAAAAAAAGTGGGAGACCAAAAAAATGAAAAAAATATCACCTGACAGTCTCTTGGAACAGGTGGATTATGTTGCTCACAGAACAATTTTTGTTAAGATGTTTCTTCCACAGAGCTAGCTTAGTGGTAGTACTGTTGTGAGCCACCTGTCTTTACATATTTGTGAAGATTGTACATAAAGCCACAAAATGAAACAGCTGACATGCCGTGGCACTGTTCATGGGTATTTCCTCTCCCTCATCCTTCCTTTATGAGCCCCTCCTCGAACTGTCCTTCATGGACACAAACACACACTCCCTTTTGTTTGTCAGTTAGATTCTCTTTAACTGCCCATCTCTGAACTATCCTGGCCCAATAACCACCCGGCTTACCATTAATGATCTCTAGGTAGCAGTGACAACTTATAGGTCTCCAATCATACACTTTAAAAGCAGGTTAGGCCCAGTGCAGTAGCTCATCCCAGTAAAGTAAAGTAATCCCAGTACTTTGGGAGGCTGAGGTGGAAGGGCCACTTGAGCTCAGGAGTTAGAGATCAGCACAGGCAACATAGTGAGATCCTGTCTCTACTAAAAGTAAAAAAATTAGCCGGGTGTGGTGGTTATGTGCCTGTGGTCTCAGCTACCTGGGAGCTGGGAGGCTGAGGTGGGAGGATTGCTTGATCCCGGGAGATTGAGCTGCAGTGAGCTATGATGGCACCACTGCACTCTAGCTGGGAGACAGAGACCCTGTCTCAAAAACTAAAAGCAGTTTCAAAATCACAAAGCCATTTCAATCACAAGTACACTTACATCTTCATGCTACAACTATAGAGACTAACAATGCTTTACAATGGAACTTTTTTTTTTTTTGGTCTCACTATGTTGCCCAAGCTGGTCTCGAACTCCTGGGCTCAAGAGAGCCTCCCACCTTGGCCTCCCAAAGTGACAACTGAATATTTTAATAAAATACTCTTTATCAATTTTTCCAAAGACAAAGAATCCCAAATGGCCTTGTGTAATATGGAACATAAAACATGAACATGATAAGCCTCTCATATAGCATAATAGGAGGGAGTGATTAAAAGAAAGAACTACCAGTTTTAGAACAGACCTAATGTTTTATACACATAAATCAGATGGTCTTCCTTCACAAATTCATACTGTAGGGTGTGTTTATACATATATATATATATATATATTTTTTTTTTTTGAGACGGAGTCTTGCTCTGTTGCCCAGGCCGGAGTGCAGTGGCGTGATCTCGGCTCACTGCAAGCTCCGCCTCCCAGGTTCACGCCATTCTCCTGCCTCAGCCTCCTGAGTAGCTGGGACTACAGGCGCCTGCCACCATGCCCGGCTAGTTTTTTGTATTTTTAGTAGAGATGGGGTTTTACCATGTTAGCCAGGATGGTCTCGATCTCCTGACCTCGTGATCCGCCTGCC
The DNA here is from genome assembly GCF_000001405.40 of Homo sapiens. Lineage (NCBI taxonomy): Eukaryota > Metazoa > Chordata > Mammalia > Primates > Hominidae > Homo > Homo sapiens. Next base: position 17,529,409 of record NC_000006.12, on the reverse strand, counting down.
TTGGCCTCCCAAAGTGTTGGGATTACAGGCGTGAGCCACCACGCCCAGACAGAGTGTGTTTATATTTTCAATGTCAAAACTAATTTCTTTCTATTTTATGCAAGATGTACATTGATCAATAACTTAGTGAAACTGACACCTTTCCAAATTTGTTAATTTCCATAATAACTTGCAAATTTTACATTCATATTTATAGCACACTTTTATTAGAAGACAACTATAGTCAAGTAAAAAGGTGCACATAAAACTAAAAGATGATCATCCTGTATAATGTGAGTGTAACTGAATTGAATTTATGACTTTTGTCTCCATTCTCTTATTTTTATCATTTATTGGAATTAAAAAAATTTTTTTTTTGTAGAGATGGGGTCTCACCACATTGCCCAGGCTGGTTTCAAACTCCTGGGCTTAAGTGATCCTCCTGCCTTGGCCTCCCAAAGTGCTGGGATTACAGGCGTGAGCCACTGCACCCGGCTCCACTTCTTAGAATTTTGAGACTTCTGTCAATAAAAACAAAGTTTCTGGGGGCCTTTCCAAGAACACAGAATTGTTAATAATACCACAGTGAAGTGCTGTATAATATTTTAAATATATGTTTATTAATAATTTTTAAAAAGTCAATTTGGGGAAAACAGAACACTACTGGAATTTCAGATTTCCATGAAAGTACTAACGGTACTTAAATACAGTCAAAATAAAAAGACAGTCCCACAAATATGAAGGAATTGTGGGGCCCATTTGGATCCGTTTTCTTCAGAGGCAAAGCTCCAAACACCCTTATCCCAAGATACAAAGACCAGGGGAAAGGTCAAAAAACTCAGATCTCATGGTTTCGTCGATGATTTCTGATGGTTTCATGATTCTCCACTCCTCCCACCCTCCTGTGGTCCCTGTATGTCATTCCTTTGATGACCTGGAAAGATCTGAGCTTTGGCAGTACATGAAAAAAAGACAGAGCAGAAAGCAAAGTTGCTTTAGAGAAGTAACAACAGCTTAAAATCAGAAAACAGCCTGGGAATAACATGTGCTGTCTATATTAGTACCTGTAAACCAGTAACTTAGTGTCTTTATGTTTGTTTTTCTCTAATTTATGCAGATGCTCCTTGACTTATAATGGGGTTTCGTCCCATAAACCTATTATAAGTTGAAAATATTGTAATAGTCAAATATGCATTTAATACACCTAATCTATTGAACCTCGTGGCTTAGCCTAGGCTAACGTAAACGTGTTCAGAACACTTACATTAGTCCACGGTTGGGCAAAACCTTCTAACACCAAGCCTATTTTACAATAAAGGGTTGAATATCTCAGGTAATTTATTAAATAGTGTACTGAAGTCAAAAACAGAATGCCTGTATGGGTACTCAAACTGCTACCTGTATACCCAGATGTGGCCCTTCTAAAAACATAGGTGGTGATTTCTTTTCTACATGCTCAAAGTAAAAATTTTTGATAAAAGCAGACCAAGCCCTCAGAGTAGAGTCCAGAAGAATATAATGAACACATGGCCAGGCACAGTGGCTCACGCCTGTAATCCTAGCACTTTGGGAGGCCAAGGCAGGTGGATCGCTTGAGGTCAGGAGTTCGAGACCAGCCTGGCCAACAGGCCAACATGGTGAAACCTCATCTCTACAAAATATATAAAAATTAGCCAGGCATGGTGGCACAACCTGTAATCCCAGCTACTCAGAAAGCTGAGGCACAAGAATCGCTTGATCCCGGGAGGCGAGACTGCAGCGAGCCGAGATCGTGCCACTGCACTCCAGCCTGGGCGACAGAGCAAGACTTTGTCTCAAAAAAAAAAAAAAAAAGAAAGAGAACAAAAATGAAAAAGAATATAATGAACACAATCTAATATGCTCAAGTGATCCATATATTCTGCATAAATTGCCTTGATATGTGGCCATAATTATTAGTTTGGCTTTGCTGACATTTAGATCAAATCTGGAATTTCCAGATTGTCTTTTCTTCTTGTCTGCCAGCTTGAGAATACAATTTCTCATAAAAAAGGAAAGATAAAATTAAATTTTCCATGGGAAAACTTTCCAGGGTTAAAGATAGCAGAGTATACTCATCAAAGAAACAAACTCAAGAGGCCCAACAGTTATATAAAGACCAAGAGGGACATGTGGCTTGAATTAGCTGGACAGCTACTTCATTTGGCCAGAAGGGCCTAAGTCTGAACTACCACTAAATTCAGGTTTTTTTCTTTCAGATTTCAGGGGCATACAGAAACGACTGTACTTTCTCCAATTATCTATACTTAGTAGATAGTAGAGGTGGGGGTTAAGGCAAAACAATAGCTGTTAGAAAGATTAGTTACCTTTGGCTCCATATTATATATGCATTTTGTTTATTTAGGGATGCTTAGTTTGCATCAAGGGTGCAGACTGGACCAATAAACCGTGGCCAGGGCTTGCCTATGTGTTCTTTTTTTTTTTTTTTTTTTTTTGAGACAGAGTCTTGCTCTGTCGCCCAGGCTGGAGTGCAGTAGCATGATCTCAGCTCACTGCAATCTCCGCCTCCTGGGTTCCAGCGATTCTCCTGCCTCAGCCTCCCGGGTAGCTGGGACTATAGGCATGCGCCACCATGCCCGGCTAATTTTGTATTTTTAGTAGAGACGGGGTTTCACCATGTTGGCCAGGCTGGTCTCGAACTCCTGACCTCAGGGGATCTGCCTGCCTCAGCCTCCCAAAGTGCTGGAATTACAGGCGGGAGCCACTACGCCCAGCCTGTGTGTTCTGTTTTATGAAGGGTTTGTTTTACCTTTAGAAGATAATCTGCACCTTCCCCCATTTCCCTTTTTAAGAAAACAGTTTTTGCTTAAGTTAATACTACCTTCTGTTTCCTGAGTTTATACCAACTGAGAATGAAAGGCAGTGGGTGACAAGGGACAGGAGCAGAGGAGGTGTGGGCGGTTGATGGGTGTTCCTGAATAAAATGCATTGTCCATTCCATTCCTATCACTGGACAGAAGGAAAGACACATTTTGGCTGGGTGCGGTGGCTGACGCCTGTAATCCCAGCACTTTGGGAGGCACAGAAGGTTGGATCACCTGAGGTCAGGAGTTTGAGACCAGCCTGGCCAACATGGTGAAACGCTGTCTCTACTAAAAATACAAAAATTAGTCAGGTATGGTGGTGCGTGCCTGTAATCCCAGCCGCTCTTGAGGCTGAGGCAGGAGAATAGCTTGAACCCGGGAGGTGGAGGTTGCAGTGAGCTGAGTTCACACCACTGCACTCCAGGTTGGGCGACAGAGCGAGACTCCATCATTAAAAAAAAAAAAAAGACACATTTTCATGCAGCTTTTGAAAAACAGACATGATCTATAGTTAATGGACTAACGCTTTGGAAATTTCATTGTGATGACAAATGAATACAGTGGATTTAGCAAATGTGTTTGAATCCTATCTGTTTTCAAGTCACTGCTGTCCCAGAACCAGGGTACCAGTCACTGCTACTGATCTCAGGCTGAACTGGAAATGGAGCCTGCATTCAATGAGCTCATAGTTTAGGAAGAGAGGATACTTCTGTGTTCCCAGACGTGGCAGGCACTTGGCTCCCAGACTTTGAGTCTTTGCTCAGGGCGTGTCTAGTTTGGAAGGCTCTTGCCCAACTGACTATCTGGAAAACAGCCTTCAAGCCTCAACCAAAATGTGTCTTTCCTCCTTTCGTAGGGTTTTTGGAACTCTCTTAGGAGGGAATTCCATGTTTCAATGTGGCACAGTGCCTGAAACATGGTTAAGTGCTTCATAAACATGTTACTGAATGAGAAAATAACTGCCATATAAGGTAGGAAATGCTAAGCAACACAAAAGAAATGGAGAGTATAAGAAGTGCTATGCAGCCGCTGAGGATGGAAGGATAACTTCCAGCTTGTGGTGGGCATGGTGATAAGCAGAGGTTGGAGAAGCTTCTTTTTTCTTTCTTTTTTTTTTTTGAGATGGAATCTTGCTCTGTCACCCAGGCTGGAGTGCAGGAGTGCAGTGTGTGATCTACGCTCACTGCAGCCTCCGCCTCACAGGTTCAACCGCCTCGCAGGTTCAATAAATGTATATTAACTTGCTAGCCCTTATTTTAGAGAGCTTTGAATTCTTGATTATGAAAAAGTTCTGGTAAATAAAATAATACTGACCATTAAAGTAGGCAGCTTTAAAAGCTACTACTATTTTGATTGATGGAGAGAAAGATTTAATACTCTAAAATGGCCAGGTGTGGTGGCTCATGCCTGTAATCCCAGCACTTTGGGAGGCCAAGGCGGGAGGATCACCTGAGGTTAGGATTTCGAGACCAGCCTGGCCAACATGGTGAAACCCCATTTCTATTTTTAAAAAAAGTACAAAAAGTAGCCAGGTGTGGTGGCGCGCACCTGTAGTCCCAGCTACTCGGGAGGCTGAGGCAGGAGAATCGCTTGAACACGAAAGGCAGAGGTTGCAGTGAGCCAAGATCATGCCACCACTGAACTCCAGCCTGGGTGACAAGAGCGAAACTCCAACTCAAAAAAAAAAAAAAAAAGAAAAGAAAAGAAAAGAAATACTCTAAAATATTTATAGATTCTTATTAAGGTATGAGGCAGGCTTGACTGGGGCTGGGCAGGACTTGAATGCCAAACCAGACTGAAGACTCGCTGCAATGGGGGAAAGAGGTGAAAGCACCTCTCCAGAAGACATGCCCACCAGGGCCATGTCAGTTGACCACTGCCATGGCAACACCTGGAAGTTACTAACTACCCCTTTCCATGGCAATGACCTGGAAGTTATCACCTCTTTTCTAGAACTTTCTGAATAACTTCCCCCTTAATTTGCCTATAATTAAAAGTGAATATAAATATAATGGCAGAATGGTCCCTGAGCTGCTACTCTGGGCACAGTTCCTATGGTACCCCTGCTGCTGCTGCACATTGCTGCTGCCATAGAAGCTGCTGTCTAACACCGCTGGCTCACCCTTGAATTCTCGCCTGGGCAAAGCCAAGAACCCTCCTGGCTAAGCCCCACTTTTGGGGTTCACCTTCCCTGCATCATTATCAACTGACACTAAAACTCAAAGGTATTTATGAGATAATAAAAACAGTTCTAAATAGAACACATTTACTTAGAGCTTCACAGTATAGCTCTTAATGACTGTGTGTGAAATTGGAGATATTTGACTATTTTTCACCTATTCTATTGAAGATATAGCACAGATTAAAATGAAAATTCACAAATACCCCAAATTTCAAAAGGCAGAAATTGAAGCCATAAGAAATAATCCATCAAATTAGACAACTGGTCCAGAAATAATCAAGAGATCATTACAGGAAAACTTCTTACTCCTTTTTTTTTTTTTTTTTTTTTTGAGACAGAGTCTTTCTCTGTCACCAGGCTGGAGTGCAGTGGCGCGATCTCAGCTCACTGCAACCTCTGCCTCCTGGGTTCAAGCCATTCTCTCCTGCCTCAGCCTCCTGAGTAGCTGGGACTACAGGCATGCGTCACCACGCCCAGCTAATTTTTGTATTTTTAGTAGAGACGGGGTTTCATCATGTTGGCCAGGATGGTCTTGATCTCTTGACCTTGTGATCCAACCGCCTCAACCTCCCAAAGTACTTTGATTACAAAAACATTTTACTCCTTAATTCTGTAAAACTGCATCTGCCTCCAGTCCTCCAGAAACTGCTCTTGGAAGGTTACTAATAACATGGTAAACATGGCTGATGACAGCCTTTGTCCAATCCTTATTCACCACAGCTTACTACAGTTGGTATCACTGGCCAGCCTGTTTTCCCTATAGCTTTGAGACTCTCCATTCTTCTAGTTCTCCTATCTCTTGTCTCCTTGATTAGTTTACCCCATTCTTGAAATAATAGTGTTTTCCAAGGTTTTATCCTTGATCTCACTCTCTCTTTTTTAACCATCTTATTTATTTGCCGGTCTTTTCTAGGTAGATGACTCCCAACACGTACATCGGGGTCTCCCCCTTCAGTGAATTCCAGATCTAAATCTCACCTCCTGACTCCACGTGTTTGGATGTCTCTCCTATACCTCCCGCACCTCAAACACAATGCAGTGAAACCCCAGGTGAAGATTTTTCTTCCTTCTCTACCAGCTCCTCCTTGCGATTTCCCTATTTTTATATTACCACGATTCTCTCCCAGACTTCCAGATTGGAAATTTTGTGTTAGATTTTATGTCCCTTGTCCTCCAACTCAGTGGCTACTCCATCTCTTTGCATTGCCATTGTCACACTCTAGGTCACATACTAACTACCTCACCCTCTAGCCATCCACTAAAGTCTCCCAACACGTATCAGGGCCTCTAATCTCTTCCCCTCTCCATCTATCTTATGCAATTCCTAAGTCATTATTCACAGTGTGTTGCTTTCTGCTTAAGAACCCATGCAGGCTGGGTACGGTGGCTCACACCTGTAATCCCAGCACTTTGGGAGGCCAAGGCGAGTGGATCACCTGAGGTATCAGCCAGGCATGGTGGCATATGGCTGTAGTACCGGCTACTCTGGAGGCTGAGGCAGGAGAATCACCTGAACCCAGAATGCGGAGGTTGCAATGAGCCGAGATCGTGCCACTGCACTCCAGCCTGGCGACAGAGTGAGACTCTGTCTCAAAAACAAAAAACAAACAACAAAACCTATGGCAAAGGAAACAACTTCAAACACTACATAGCCCCACCTTCTTAGCATAATGCATAAGGATTTCACCATCTGGCCCCAACCTGCCTTTCTGGCCTCACCTTTTGCCACATTCAGCTCTGCAAAACCACCAGCCTTTCTCTCAAAGTACATTGTTCATGTCTTACGTACATATGCTGAATTCTCTGCCCCAAAACTGCCCTTCCCTTTACTGTTTGCCTAGGGAACTCCTGCTCACCGTCAAGATCCAAATCAAGTGTCAGCCCTTTTGTGGCTCTTCGTGCCCACCCAGGAAGGAGTCTAATTCACAAGGCTTATTTTCCAACCTAGCTTTGTATTGCTGTTATTTATTTATGCATCATAATAAAAACCCTGCTGCTTCACGGAAGAACTGTAGTATAAATATAATGCCTGGTGTGTGCTTGGTACATGGTAAGTAGCCAATAAGTAGTTACCAAGGAAGTGAATTACTAAATAAATGAACGTGTAAAAGTGAATGATTTCCCTATAACAACTCCTTTGGCCCAACTTAAATACAGTAGAGCAGTGCTTTTCGAACTTCACTATGCATATAAATTACCTGGGAATCCTGTTGAAAAGTAGGTTGTGATTTGGGAGGGCTGAGGTGGGGCCTGAGAGCCTGAGATTTCTTTTTTTTTCTTTCCTTTTTGTCTTTTTTGAGACAGAGTCTTGCTCTGTCGCCCAGGCTAGAGTCCCGTGGTGCAATGCAGGCTGACTGCAACCTCCACCTCCCAGGTTCAAGCGATTCTCCTGCCTCAGCCTCCTGAGTAGCTGGGATTACAGGTCTGCACCACCACGCCCAGCTAATTTTTGTATTTTTAGTAGAGACAGGTTTTCACCATGTTGGCAACACTGGTCTCGAACTCCTGACCTTAGGTGATCTACCCGCCTCAGCCTCCCAAAGTGCTGGGATTACAGGCTTGAGGTACCGCGCCCAATCAAGGGGCCTGAGCTTTCTAACAAGTGCCCAGGTTGCTGTTGGCCCCAGAACCATGCTGCACTACAGGATGGGCCGTATCTTCCACGTGGTCCTGGTCTATGCAAGCGTCATGCCTTGTGTGGATTCCCTAGCACACTGCTCCCCCTGTTCTATCATGGTGCATTGCTCATCTTCTTCAGCTAGAATGCGCGTTTCCGTGGACAGGAATCGTGTCCACAATGCCATCTACCCATCTTTGTATTCTTAGCCCCTTGCCCAGAACTCAGTGCATAGTAGATGCTTAAGCCATATTGGTTTAATTATGTGGTCTCTGTCAGGCTGAACTCACAGCCACTTCCAACCTAACTTTACTATCTACCTGTGCATTTGAGGCTTCTTTGTTAGTTGATGACACTTCTTTTTTTTTTCTGAGACGGAGTCTCGCTCTGTGGCCCAGGCTGGAGTGCAGTGGTGCCATCTTGGCTCACTGCAAGCTCCGCCTCCCAGGTTCATGCCATTCTCCTGCCTCAGCCTCCCGGTAGCTGGGACTACAGGCACCCGCCACCTTGTGCGGCTAATTTTTTTTTTTGTATTTTTAGTAGAGACAGGGTTTTACCGTGTTAGCCAGGATGGTCTCGATCTCCTGACCTCATGATCTGCCCGCCTCGGCCTCTCAAAATGCCGGGATTACAGGCATGAGCCACTGCGCCCAGCCAGTTGATGACACTTCTAACCCCTGTTGAGCAATGTGGAACCCTTCCATAAGAGAATAAGAGTAACTGGCCACCCAGAGCCCCAGAAGGGACCTAGAAGCCCAAACTGAACTAAGTAGAACGACGCAGCTGTGGTCAGGTACACTGGCCAGGGCCACTCCGTGGGAAGAGCCATAGAGAACAGTGAGCTTTGTCATCAGACAACCAACACATCATCTGAGGCGCTGCCCATTCACTTTGATTAATACCCCTAAGGTGTGGGTTTGGTACAAGTTCTAAATGAAAATTTGGATATAAAAGCTTAAGAACAGTTTTCTCTTGTAAATAGCAAGAGGAAGGTAAAGAGGCCTGAAGACTTGAAAACGTACAAGGCATACATATTCATAGTTAATGACATGCCACAGAGTCTACATTATTTATAATAAGTCGGGATACCCTCTGGCTGAGTTTTAATTTGATCAAAAGTAAGCTATTAAACTTTCACTTTGTTAACAGACATTTGGCCTTTACACCAAGAAACAGAAAGAAAAGAAATATCTACCTGGAGGAAAAGAAGTGATCCTAAAGCATTTTGCTTTGGGAAAAATGAAACGCCACCTTGTCTATAATTGTAACCACCACCAACGACTTGCATTTTCCTGGAGGTTCAGGAGAGGCTAGGATGGATGATAGTGTATAGGATGGATTTTTAAAACCCGTATTATTAAGAATTACATTGGCTGGGTGCAGCTTATCATCCTACCATGCTTATCATCCTAGCACTTAGGGAGGCCAAGGCAGGCGGATCACTTGAGCCCAGGAGTTTGAGACCAGCCTGGGCAACGTGGTGAAATCACGTCTCTACAAAAAAAATATAAAAATTAGCCAGGCATGTTGGTGCACGCCTGTAGCCTCAGCTACTTAGGAGGCTGAGGCAGGAGGACTGCTTGAGTTCAGGAGGTCAAGGCTGCAGTGAGCTGCAATCGTGCCACTGTACTCCAGCCTGGGCATCAGAGCGAAACTCTGTATCAAAAAAACAAAACAAAACAAAAAACAGTAACAACAAAAAAAATAGAACTACATCACTATTACATAAGACTGTATATACATTCATCCATGTGCAGTTTTATTCTACTCTACAAATAATTATATCTTATTTGATCCCAAAGCTAAAGTAATTCAGAAATATAGGAAAGGACAGAAATATGTCAACAAGTTTAACAACCGAAAGTTAATAAAATAATCACATTTCTCCTAATCATAGAATTCTTTACATGACCTTTATCTGAGCAGAATTTTCTGAACAGATAATAGTCTGTTTTTAGAACAGGATAATAGTCTGCATTTATAGATTCACAGAAATGAAGAGTTTTGTAGGAAAAAAGTCAATTATTTCAATAATTATAAGGGTAAAGACTAGGCCTTAGTCTTTCGACTTTAGTTATCTGATTTGAAGGAAATGCCAAGGAATATTACAGCTCTGACCAACTGCGAGGGATCCTAAGTAACAGTGCTGCTAATGGGTTTGTGCCAAAAGATCAATTTGTTCAACGAAGTGCATTTGAAACTTAGCACTGAGGAAATGACACAAACTCATATGAAAAAGAGGTCCAGTCCCAAGGATGAAACTAACTGAAAACAGCAAGTTAGTTTCTGGTGTGGGGTCTTTCTAGTTGACAGCTGTCTTAATAAGTTGGAAAAAAGCTCATAGAAATGACAAGATTCCATTTACCATGGTAAATGTAAGAAGACATTCCAGACAGATTATTCCACAGCTGCCTCCTCCCACCCAACTCACCCCACCCCACCCGGCACACTTGCACACACACGTAGACTCTCTTCAAATCGCTGGTCTCAAAGTTTGGCATTTCACCCTGACAACTGAACAGGGCAGCAGTTGCCTGACACAGCTGCGGTCTGGAGGCAGAGGTTAGGAGATGGGATCAGGGACTTTCAGCTCCAACTGTTAACTCAGGGAAGGATGATTTTGTAGAGCCACGTGCCCTTGGACAGTCCAGGTCTCAAACAGCAGGCTGTCAGTCACTAAAAACCCCACAGAGTGCAAATCTCAAAATCCAATTTGAAAATAGAAAAAAACAACAATTACTGAAAGTACTTGAGATGTTAAGTCGTCATAAACTTTTCACGGTGCAAGTAGGAGTTTTGTGCAATGGACTGTGTCTGTTAAGATGGAATGGGTTTTTTTGAAAAACCTCTGGGCTGGATGTGGTGGCTCACGCCTGTAATCCCAGCACTTTCTGAGGCCGAGGTGGGCAAATTCCTTGAGCTGAGGCGTTCTAGACCACCCTGGGCAACATGGCAAAACTCTGTCTCTACAAAAAATAAAAAAATTAGCCAGGTGTGGTGGTGCAGGCCTGTAGTCCCAGCTGCTCGGGAGGCTGAGGCAGGAGGATCATTAGAGTCCAAGAGGTCAAGGTTGCAGTGAGCCATGATTGTGCCACTGCATTCCAGCCTGGGTGTCACAGTGAGACCCTGTCTCAAAAAAACAAAAAAATTAAATTAAAAAAAAAATCTCTGAATACTGTGGTGTCCACAAACATCAACACCACATCTTTCTATAGTCTTTCATGATATTTATCATTTTATAAATACATAGTTTTTACAGAGTTGTGATCAGTGGGCAAACAAATGAAATGGTCTTGCTTTATTTTTTCCTCCCAAAGACCATTCAATCAGATGATTCTAGGAGTCCTTTTCTCTTCTCTGCAAGAATGCTGCAACTCTGGCTATAACTGTTTATCCTCCATTTTGCTGGAATGTCGACAGGCCACAGTCAGAGAGGAGAAATTAGCTTGATTTATGCTATGGACTATGCTTTGGAATCTTTAAGTCGTTTTTAATAATTTAAAAGAAATTTGATTTTAAAATTCAAAAATATAATTGTTATAATATACTTTTTAATAGCTGCCCAAACCTTGGAAGAATAAGATAAAAAATCAGGAAATATATTTCTAGGCATATGTTTTAAAGCTTGACAAAAGATTTTTAATCATTTTTAATATCTGACCAAAACTTTATCATTTTCTCTTCCATTAGAGAAGTGAAGTAGATGCTTTGCTTTTACCATTTTGAATAGAATATTCCCCTGGCATATTATGTGAGCACATAATATGTATAATATAAATAACAGCTGTCATGGCAATCCATGATGCCTGATGTGCTCTATGGATCATATTTATTTTGTATAAATGTAACACGTTTTATAACTATTTATTTATTTATTTATTTATTTTGAGACCAAGTCTCACTCTTGTTGCCCAGGCTGAAGGGCAGTGGCACGATCTCGGCTCACTACAACCACTGCCTCCCGGGTTCAAGCGATTCTCTTGCCTCAGCCTCCCAAGTAGCTGGGATTACAGGTGCCCGCCACCATGCCTGGCTAATTTTTGTATTTTTAGTAGAGACAGTGTTTTGCTATGTTGGCCAGGCTGGTCTCAAACTCCTGACCACAGGTGATCCACCTGCCTCAGCCTTCCAAAGTGCTGGGATTACAGGCGTGAGCCACCACACCTAGCTTATAACACATTTTAAAAAATGTGAGATATGACTCACTAGTGGGGTCATGAAATCAATTTATTGGGTCTCAGCCAGAATTTTATAAAAAATGAAATAAAAAATAAAATATCTGAATGTGTTGTACATAGTAAGAGCAAGTATTGTTTTGTGAAGCTTGAACATAATAAGTATTCACTTTAGAACAAAGGAAGACAACTACATTTATATTTTTCTGTAATTAATAATCAATTCTCTTTTATATTCATAAACACAATTACTCAGCTTTGCACATTGCATTAAAGGTATTCAAACCATTTAAAAGTAATTTTCTATTCATTTTCCATGGGCACCATTAGAGAATTAACAGGCTAGCATTTGTTGACACTATTTTCCATAAATGGATTCTCATTCCTCTGGCCTTTATCTACCATGAAATAATAATAGAGCCAAGGGCTCCTGATTTTCATTTTACTGTTCTCTAATAATGATCTATCACCATGGCAAAGATGTGACACTTTCTCTTTATGATACATGGCTGTACAACAAAACACTATCTCATTGGAAATCGATAAAAAATAATTCCAATTAGTCTACATAAACACCCATCCATATCCACACATACCCTTACTTATTAAAACCCTTCACATGTTTTTGAATTCTCTTCTCAAAAGTCACAATGTTGTGGTTAGGAAAAAAAAAACAATCCGCTTAGTTGTATCTTGCACTGTGCATTTCAGTGCTATGGAGAAAATAGGCGAAGTAGAATATAAAAAGAAACATCAGTCTTGAAGGGTCGTGTTAACATTTGTAAAAGTGTTGGAAAACAAATGTAGAAGGCCCCACACTCTCTTGAAAAACCACAAACTCTCCTTTGGCATGAAGCCTGCTTACTATACTGACAGGGACATCCAGCATGGAGGGTTGGGTGCTGGGGTACTGCTTTCAGGACAGTGAGTTTTACCTCTGAATGGAATTCACAAAGAAGCTGTTTCATTCAAGTTAACATTAATTTCTTTATTTTATTTTGATTTCCATATGTTTTTGGTGAAGAGATGGCGTTTGGTTACACGAGTAAGTTCTTTAGTGGTAATTTGTGAGATTTTGGTGCATCCATCACCTGAGCAGTATACACTGTACCCAATTTGTAGTCTTTTATCCCTCAGCCCCCTCCCAACCTTTCCCTCAAGTCCCTTAAGTCCACTGTAACATTAATTTCTAATGGAAAGGAGTTTCCATGAAAAGCAAGTGCAGAGATTCAAAAGGGCAAGAAACATTCTAAGAGTCCCCTCATGATCATTTAGTTCAAACCATTTACTGAGCACTTACTCTGTGCCAGGCACTATACTAGGGGCTGGAGACAAGAGATGAGTTTCCAATCTAGTGGGAGAGTCCCAAAAGCACACAGTAAAGCACCATTCCACATGCTAAGGATATGACTGAGGTATACTCAAGATGCAAAGGAGGCAGACAGAGAGCAGAGCCAGTCAACCCAGATGGGGAGCTGATGGAGATCAATGGAAGTTTCTTAAAGAGGTGATGTGTGAGGTGAGTCTTGCAGAAGAGGTAGGGGTACCTCCCCGGGGGAAATTAGGTTATACAGCAGGATATAGGTTCAGGACATTGCAATAAAGGTTACACAATATGAGTTCGGTAAATTTTGAAACAACATCAATTTCATTTGGTGCAATCCAAGCACTGGCTTTGTTCAGGATACCACAAGGAGTGAGGGGTTGCTGGAACACACGGTGAGACATGGGAGAGGATGTGAGAGATAAAGCTGAAAGGGGCAAAGGTCAGCGCAACATCTCACATGGGAATTAAAGTGGGAACAGACACAGGCTGTGATCTTATGCTGCTACTAAGATACCAAAGTCCTAGGATCGCCTAGGTACTCAAAAATACTATTCAATACACTTTAGAACACTAAAAGAGAAGTTAAGAACATTTAAAGGACATTTTAATCATAATTCCACCTCATTAAAATGACATCTATCTTGTTCTCTTTTTTTTGGAATAATTTCAACCTTTACTTTAGGTTCAGGGGATACATGTGCAGGTTTGTTACGTGGGTATATTGTATGATGCTGAGGTTTGGGGGTGTGAATGATCCCGTCACCCAGGTAGTAGGCACAGTACCCAGTAAGTAGTTTTTCAGTCCTTGGACTCCTCCCTCCATCCTATCTCTAGCAGTCCTCAGTGTCTGTTTTTCCCGTCTTTATGTCCACGTGTACCCATTATTTAGCTTCCACTTGTAAGTGGGAACACACGGTATTGGCATTCTGTTCCTGAGTTAATTAGCTTAGGATAGTGGTCTCTAGCAGCTTCCATGTTGCTGCAAAGGACATGATTTTGTTCTATTTTATGGCTGCATAGCTTTCCATGTACACCTGTCTTCAAACCTTCTTGTTCCCTTCAATTTCTATCACACATTTTTTTTTTTTTTGAGACAGAGTCTTGCTCTGTCACCCAGGCTGAAGTACAGTGGCACTATCTTGGCTCACTGCAATCTCCGCCTCCCGGATTCAAGCGATTCTCTTGCCTCAGCCTCCTGAGTAGCTGGGATTATGGCGTGCACCACCACGCTCGGCTGTTTTTTGTATTTTTAGCAGAGATGGGGTTTTGCCATGTTGGACAGGCTGGTCTCGAACTCCTGACCGCGGGTGATCCACTCACCTTGGCCTCCCAAAGTGCTAGGATTACAGTCACCGTGCCCAGCCTCTATCACGCAATTTCTTAACATATACATCATCTTAATACTCATAAACTTTTGCAATTGACTTTATCACTTAACATTAACTGGTAAAGCATTTTAATGGCTGTAGAGTGTTTCATTGCATTCTTACCATGGACGACTTAGCCATTTCCTTTTTTGTTGTTGTTGCTGTTTGTTTGAGATGAAGTCTCACTCTGTGGCCCAGGCTGGAGTGCAGTGGCACGATCTAAGCTCACTGCAACGTCTGCCTCCCGAGTTAAGTGATTCTCCTGCCTCAGCCTCCCAAGCAGCTGGGATTACAGGCATGTGCCACCACACCCAGCTAATTTTAGTATTTTTAGTAGAGATGGGGTTTCACTATGTTGACCAGGCTGGTCTCAAACTCCTGACCTCAGGTGATCTGCCCACCTCGGCCTCCCAAAGTGCTGGGATTACAGGCGTGAGAGCCACTGCGCCCTGCCAGCCATTTTCTTTTCTATTTCTTTTCTATGTTATGTAGGGAGCTCCGAAATTTCTCCTACAACAAATGACATTTCCATAAACCGTTTCTACATGGGCTTTTTTTGGACAGAGTTTTGCTCTGTCGCCCAGGCTGGAGTGCAATGGTGCAATCTCGGCTCACTGCAGCCTCTGCCTCCTGGGTTCAAGCAATTCTCATGCCTCAGCCTCCTGAGTAGCTGGAATTACAGAAGTGCGTTACCATGCCTGGCTAATTTTTATATTTTTAGTAGAGACAGTGTTTTGTCATGTTTGCCAGGCTGGTCTTGAACTCCTGACCTCAATGATCTGCCCAGCTCAGCCTCCCAAAGTGCTGGGATTACAGGCGTGAGCCACCGCGCCTGGCCCTCCACATGGACATTTAATCTTACATTTTCCTTGAGGTAAGTTTTAAGGTGTGAGATTACTGGGCCACAGGGTGTATATATAGTCATGGCCTTTTTTTACACACGTGGAGGAAGGCCTCGTACTCACTGTTTTGCTCCATGTGAGGCCCGTGGTGTGGTGTTCCTTGATGTATGCTTGAAGTTCACTCCAAATGTTCAAATATGACTTCACCCAATCCACATGACGCAAATCACTTTGTTGTGAAAGAGGGTTGAAGAAAGCAGAGTTAGGATCTAAAATAAAATTTTAAAAAAATTGTGGGGGCACATGGTTATCTAGTGACTAGGGGCCCTGGAGCCCGGAGCAATCGTCCTTGCAACCCAGGCACCGTGAAGGGCTTCAGAAGGGAACCCTGGGAGGAAGCTGGCCCAGTACTCTCCTGAGGGGAGGCGGCAGGTGGCCGGATGCCCTGAGCTCCGGGTATGGAGCAGAGGTACCACAGAGAGGGGACCCGACAGAGCTAAGCTGACTTGAGTAGGGTGTCCTTGCACTGTCCCAGTCAGCCCTCACGTGACGGGGGCGTGGAGGGGAGACTGTTTCTTTCTGCACTGCTTCTGATGCAAAATGAGAGACAATATACTCCCAGGAATGAGAATGGTATTAAAAAGAAAAAAAAAGTCATTGGGTTCATTTTCTAATAATTCTGTTGAATTATTTGGTTAAAAGTATAACCAAATTGGAGAATTTTAGCCATTATGACTGACAAAGAAGTTGGTATAGGAAGAAAATTGATCTCTTACAAACAGGTAACACCCCTTACTTCTAAAGGGACATTTACTTAAATTCCCTTAATTTAATACTTTGAATGACAATACAAACCAGGCAAGGCATCACCAGTATTTTTATCTCTATTTTATTGAACCAAGGGCTAGTAAAATGCTTACCTTTTATAATGGGATTAACATACAAGATTGAAAGAATTGTTAGAAATATTAAACTTATAGATAGGTAAAAATAGTTGCATTTCCTTTCGGCAATTTTTACCTATAATATATTTTTTCTCACTTATAGAAGTCAAGGTAAATGCAAAAATAATGACATTTGAGTTAAGAAAAATTTAATTATGTTCCTGGGCCATTAATCTGAAGATAATCATGAATGGAAATCTCTATTATTAAAGCTCTTGTAATAATGACTTGTCTCTAGACATATTTTGTTTTCCTTGAAAAGCCCTAAAGTACCACCAGCATGTTTAGAATCCTATTGTATTAAGGCATGCCATTTAGAAGGAGTGAAATTGGGAACTGAAGTCACAATTATTCACTCCACAAATAGAAAAAATGTGAGTGTGGTTTTGTTCTACATTTTTAGATGTACTGATATATTCATCAAATGTATGAAAAATCTCATTGTCGCTTTACCTCACCTTCACAGTCAAAACTCAAAAACTAAGTGTAGCTCCAACGGTCTCTCTTGTTAGTTTCCTAAGTCTGTAGGGTCTTATAAGGGTCTTAGTACAGTGCCTAGCACATAGGAAGCAGTATACACATAGCTATTATTAGAGCATGAACATTACTTCAATATAAATGTACACACATATGTCTATGTTTATATGTGTATGTACATACAACACACATGTATGTTTGTGGACATTATAGAAATAGCATGTTGACATTCAATATACTTTCTTCTCTTTTTTTTTTTTAGAGACAGGGTCTTGCTCTGTCACCCAGGCTGGAGTGCAATGGTGAGATCATAGCTTGCTGTAGCCTCAACCTCCTGGGCTCAAGTGATCCTCCCACCTCAGCCTTCCAAGTAGCTGGGACTACAGCTACATGTGCGCCACCATGCCCAGATAATTTTTAAATTTTTTTGTAGGGATGGAGGTCTCACTATGTTGCCCAGGCTGGTCTCGAACTCCTGGCCTCAAGGTATCTTCCCTCCTCAGCCTCCCAAAGAGCTGGGATTACAGGCATGAGCCACCATGTCTGATTCAGTATATTTTCCATTAAAAAATTTAACAGTGGATGAAATTCAAGTCTATATGGGCAAATTCTTTTTTTTTTTTAACCAATGCAGTATTATTTTGACTTGAAGAACGTTCTAGCAAAACTTGTAATAAGGACTAAGAGTATGGTGCCCTTTTACCTGAAATCAGTCTTTAAGGGGTAACAAATTGAGCAGGACCCAAATACACATTAGGAGCTGCAAACCTATCTTCAGTTTTCATATACTCTGGAAGAAGCTATGGTAGGGGAATGTGAATTTTAATGATTATGACTCAGAGAGACCACACCTCTATAAAGCTAAAATAAATGACTTGCTGTATTCATATATTGAAAGAACCAGGCCGGGCGGGGTGGCTTACGCCTATAATCTCAGTACTTTCGGAGGCCAAGGTGAGTAGATCATTTGCGGTTAGGAGTTTGAGACCAGCCTGACCAACATGGCGAAACTCCGTCTCCACTAAAAATGCAAAAAAATTAGCTGGGTGTGGTGGTGCATGCCTGTAGTCCCAGCTACTCAGGAGGCTGAGGCAGGAGAACTGCTTGAACCCGGGAGGCAGAGATTGCAGTGAGCTGAGATCGTGTCACTGCACTCCAGCCTAGGTGACAGAGCGAGACTCTGTATCAAAAAAAATAAAAAAGAAAGAGAAAAACAGCCAATGAGCAGTCAAGCTGGTGGTAAGCGTTGCACAGATACAGATTTCACTGCTCACAGTCCTGTTTAAACCTCAAGGAAGTCTGCCTTTCTACTCCTCT
Organism: Homo sapiens; assembly: GCF_000001405.40. Lineage (NCBI taxonomy): Eukaryota > Metazoa > Chordata > Mammalia > Primates > Hominidae > Homo > Homo sapiens. The sequence continues at coordinate 17,511,339 of NC_000006.12, read as the reverse complement.
ACCTACGGTCCTACTGCCCAGTGGGCAGCAGTGACGCACAAATGACTGCGACACAGAGACGGCACCACGGGCTTGAGTCCACCGGTAAATGGGTGTTGCATGGTGTGGAGTATGCTGCTTAGTCCGCTTTCAGAAGCTCAAGGGTGACCTGGGAGTGCTTTGACTACTCCTAGCAGTAAAACGAATGCATTTGCACTTCCAGCTGCATTTCTTCGGCTTCTTGTACAGTCTTGAGGTAGTCCACTGAGCTTAACTGAGTCATCTTTGGTACTACTGGAAGTACATTTTCTACTTAATTGCTAGAGTTAACACTGAGGGGCAAATACTGAACCCTCTTTGTGAACAAAAAGCATGTAGAAAAGCCCAACCCTTTTGACTATGCTGCTACCTGGGGAGAACCCCTCACACCCACAGCCCCAACATATACTCAAGGAGGGACTGGGAGAAGGACAGGAGCTGATGAACTGAGATACTAATTAAAATAGTCTCCAAGGGTGGAAGGTAAAAAGGCAGAAACCTAGGTAGTGCTTGAGCTGTCCTGAACTGGCATGTGTAGGTGTGTGTCTGTATATCTGGAACAAAAGAAGTCACCATGGGTGTATGTTCATGCTGTCATATGATATCCAGGTTTGGGAATTGAAACTTGCTCTTTTCTGAAATGTTATTTTTATGTCAGAAGAACAGACCATCTTGCATTTCTGATGCCTTTCTCATGCGTGCCGCACAGTTCTAAAGTCTCTAATACAACACGGCAACATTTGGAGGCATATCATTGGGCACAATTGCCTTGATGCAAAAAGTCTGTAACTGAGCACAACTGTTTTAACCAAAGTTTTCTCGGGGTGGGCAGAGCCCCTAAGAGGAAAAGAGGCGCACTGAAGACCCTGGAATTCGGCGTTCTGTCTGCTAAAGCTCCTCTTCCCAAAAGCAACATGGAACGACTAAATTCTGTGAGGGGAATACAATGGCTGTTTGTTTTTCTTTTTGTTTTTTGAAATAAAACAGCTTTATTGAAATACAATTCACATCCCATACACTTCAACCATTTCCAGTGTGCAATTCCATAGTTTAGCTCAGCAGAGTTATCACTCAGTTGAGCAATCACCACCACAATCAATTTTAGAACATAATTCATCACCCCCCAAAAGAAACCCTACACCCATTAGCAATTACTCCCCAAAAGGGAATCATTACTAAAAACTTAAACTAAAAACTTAAAAAAAAACTTAAATTTTAAAAAGTTTAAGTTTTCCCTAAATTTCTCCAGCCCTAGGCAACTGTTAATCTACTTTCTCTTTCTATAGATTTGACTATCCTGGAATTTCACATAAATGTAATCATACAATATGTAGTCTTTGTGCCTGGCTTCTTTCACTTAGCACAATATTTTCAAGGTTCATCCATGCTGCTGCCCGAATAAAAGAATGAAGTATCAATACTTCATTCTTTTTTTTTATGGCCAAATAATATTCTATTGTGTGGATATACCATGTTTTATTTATCCATTCATGAGCTGATGAACATTTGGGTTGTTCTCATCTATTGGCTATTATGAATAATGCTGCAATGAATATTGTGTACAAGATTTTGGGTGAACATATGTTTTCAGTTCTTTTGGAAATACACCTAGGAGTGGAATTGCTGGATATGGCTCCTTTTTTTTTTGAGATGGAGTCTCACTTTGTCACCCAGGCTGGAGTGCAGTGGCACAATCTCAGCTCACTGCAACCTCCGCCTCCCGGGTTCAAGTGATTCTCCTGCCTCAGCCTCCTGAGTAGCTGGGATTACAGGTGCCCACCACCACGCTCGGCTTTTTGTATTTTTAGTAGAGACAGGGTTTCACCATGTTGGCCAGGCTGGTCATGAACTCCTGACCTCAAGTGATCCACCTGTCTCAGCCTTCCACAGTGCTGGGATTACAGGAGTGAGCCACCACACCTGGTCTGCTTTTTATAGTAAAAAAATATTGTTACATAGTTCTTAACTTGAGGGATGGATGTATAGGTATTTTTTTATATTGTAATCCTTAACATCTCGTGTGTATTTTATAAATATTCTTTTGTATCTACTCAATATTTTTAAAAATAAAAAAATCTACAAAAAAAGTGATGAAAATTTTGAATATGTAATATTAATTAATGGCCTGGAAGTATACTAGGTATTTATTTATGTATTTTATGCAATTTTTCTATATTCCATATAAAATTTGTCTTATATTGTTGTAGACCCTTTTCTTCTGGTTCTAATTTTCAGATCTGCATTAGTAAAATAAAGGAGTGAATTGAGGCCAGGCACAGTGGCTCATGCCTACAATCCCAACACTTTGGGAGGCTGAGGTGGGCGGATCACGAGGTCAAGAGATTGAGACCATCTGGCCAATATGGTGAAACTCCGTCTCTACTAAATATACAAAAATTAGCTGGGCGTGGTGGTGCGCACCTATAGTCCCAGCTACTTGGGAGGCTGAGGCAGGAGAATCGCTTGAACCCGGGAGGCAGAGGTTGCAGTGAGCCAAGATGCCAAGATCGCACCACTGTACTCCAGCCTGGCAACAGAGTGAGACTCCATCTCAAAAAAAAAAAAAGAAGGTGAATTGAAGCAATAATCCAATAATGCAGGTTCTTTAATTTCCTTCCACCTGAACAGTCTGGGTCAACACATGAGACGTCCCCAGGTGCCTCTGCATTTGCTGACCAATGGTCACTTCTGTTGCTGCCATCTAAGAGCTCAGAGGGAGATCCACTCTTGAGTCCAGGGCCAGAAGCAGGTAGAACCTTGTTGCTCTTATATTTGCCTCATCCCTTCCCTTAGTTCCTAGGCACCAGCCACATCACATTTAGCCAGCTGTTTAGAGTACAAGGCACGACCTTATCAGAGGGGTTGGAATCTCATGATATCCTTTAAATAGTTTAGGACACATTTTCCTGGATATTTCTTCAGCTCTGCCATGTCTCCGTTTGGGCCTATTTTCTATTCTGACTCCAGTTTAAGTTACTCTGGGATCTATTACTTGTGCTGTCGAACGCAAGGTCCTTTCACGCTGGTTCACCAGGCAAAGCCCCTTGGTTTAGACTCATCTATACTTTCAGCAGCACTCTGAATGGCTGCTAGTCTTCCAGGTGTCTCTGCGTACACCCCAGTTGTATTTCATATTAACTGAGTCTCTGGTTTCCTTCTCACTGCTCTGGTTTGTTGTTTCACCTCATTTCTGTTCTTGATTCACACTTCATTTCCTGATTCCTCCTCTCTTCTATAGCTCACCCTCCAACTCTACTTTGATGCATGTAAAGGTTCTGTACCATATAGGGTTGTTCCATCACCAAGCTCTCTGATTATTGTGGGAATACATAAGATAGTGACATGCATTCAAGTGGGGAGAGTTTATTCATTATGAGAGAACTGAGGCAGACTTTCTAAAACCCATATATTATCTGGATAATTGATTCCACTTTCCACTTGACTTTATCTGCAAAGATTAGATTTTCCTTTAAAGTTTATAGTACATTAGTGTAGAGCCTTGGAAAGGAATCAGTAGTTAACTGGACTGAGTTTTAGGGACAAATGTCTAACAAGTAATCAACTGAAAATTTGGTGAGTAAAGGAAGGTACGTACCTGTGTTTGTAGTCCTTTAAGACCCTGTTAGTGTAAAAGGTGGCAGCGTCATTCATCTCCTTGACATAAGGACCAGGTTTGGGAGACTGAGAAAACAGGACCGTCACCCAAGCATAGAAGGAAAAAAAAATAGGATAAGAAAGAAAATGCCTTAAAGAAGAAGAAAAGCAATGGAGACGCGTGGACTTGAAAGTGGGAGGCACATGTTGCTCTGTAAAGGTTGATAAAAACACTTTCTACAGTATCTCAGAACAGAAAGCTTGAACTTTAAACAGGGTAGGAGAAAGTGGATGCATTCAGCCCAGGAAGAAGCTTCCTTCAGTGCAAGGAGCGTGAAGGTAGCTAAGCTACTAGTTCTCCTAAATACTCCAAACGTGTGATGAGGTGAAGAGGCAACATTGCACCTGGACTCACCACAGCTATCCATCCAAGGGCAGGGATGCTTTCGCTGACGGCCGAAAGATGATTAAACATGTTACTCCCCCGGTTTCTCTCTCTGAAAGTTTGGATTTCCTGAATCTTTTCCGATATGGGTTTCAGAAGTGCGGCCACGTCATTCTGTAAGCAGTCAAACATCGGGGGCTTTTACTACAGACAGAGCAGACGCATAGCACCTCTATCCATGTTGGCCTAAGCAGGAGAATTCAGGACCTGCCGTCTGTTAAGGGGTCTAAAAGAAACATATAATCATCTTTGAGAACAGCATGCATTTGTTCTTGGTTATGGTAATGCCGTGCTTTTACTGTCTGAAGTATGAAAATTGCAGATATTTTTAACATTATTAATGCTGTGGCTTGAGATGTGGAAAAAACCCAGCAGTATGGCACAGCCCCCATTTTGAAGACTCCTTCATGGAAGACAGTGAAATTGAGTGTTGATCATTTATATTTCAAATGGCAAATAGATCACACACTGCAATAATCCTGGTATAAATTTGGGTAAGACCGGAAGGTTAGTAAAATGACTTCATCCTATTCCTGTGGAAAATGCTTTGGGAGAGGCTTCCTGGTTTCACCACAGTTGCCATAATCCATGTGAAAAAGTGGAAATCTTTCACTGAGGCCTCCCCCGCAACCCTTTTTTTTTTTTGAGATGGAGTCTCACTCTGTCCCAGGCTGGAGTGCAGTGGCGCGATATTGGCTCACTGCGACCTCCGCCTCCCAGGTTCAAGCAATTCTCCTGCCTCAGCCTCCTGAGTAGCTGGGACAACGGGTGGCTGCCACCACGCCCAGATAATTTTATTTTTAGCAGAGGTGGGGTTGGCCAGGTTGGTCTTGAACTCCTGACCTCAAATGATCCACCCACCTCGGCCTCCCAAAGTACTGGGATTACAGCTGTGAGCCACCACACCCAGCCCTTTTTAAGAAAATGTGATGGCTTATCATATTTACAGTGACTTTAGTCTTTGTTGGCATTCTACATTGTCCCCAGTCCACTTCGCCTATGGCTACAGGTCACACTCAATTCTGCTAATTCAGCAACCGACTTCTCCATTCATACAAAAATAACTTTCAGAATTAGATGAGCTGGCTGGGCGTGGTGGCTCATACCTGTAATTCCAACATTTTGGGAGGCTTAGGCGGGAAGATCGCTTGGGGCCAGGAGTTCAAGACCAGCCCAGACAACACAGCAAGACCCCACTTCTACAAAAAAAAATGTGAAAAATGAAGTGGCTGTGGTGGTGTGCTCCTGTAGTTCCAGCTACTCAGGAGACTCCAATCCTGGGAGAGTTAGAATTACCCAGGAATTTGAGATGCAGTGAGCTGTGACTCACCACTGTACTCCAGCCTGGTGCCAGAGTGAGACTCTGTCTGAAAAAATATGTAAATAAGTAAAAATAAGAAATGAAAAACAAAATGACATGAGCTGAGTTATAAAGTATCTCGGAGCTAGATTCTCCAGAATACCACAGTTGCTTTAAACATCTCCTCATCTACATCCTTAGCATTCTCTAATTTCTCTAGGTGTGTTGAAAAGCAGATACAAGGTTGTTTATCAGATTTTTGTGTGTGCTCCAAAGAAACAGCAAAGGTCCTGTACTTCAGCTCTGTGGAAGCAGTTAAAGAGCTTTAAGCAGTATTTTAGTAAATCTTGTTTGCAGGAGGTAAAATAGAAAAGCTCCTTACAGCTCTTTAATTTCTGAGATTTCAGAGCAATGGTTCCCAGCCTTGGCTACATATTAGAACCACCTTGGGGTTTTTAAAAACCACTAAGGCCTGGGTTCCACCCCTAGCAATTCTGATTTAACGGGTCCGGGGGTGGCCTGGGTGAGGGCAGGGCGATTGTTTAAGCTTCCCAGGTGATTTCAATCATTGCTGCAGCGGTGGCTTCACACCCCAGAGGGCAGTCATTTCTGCCACGGACAGCAAACTATTAGGAAATAAATTATGTGCAGCTGCGGTAGCTTTTAGACTTTACCTCTCCTTCTAAACCCCTTTATATACCCTCCTCTGAAAAGAATGTTGAATGTAAGGGCTTTGGAATTAGAATGGCCTTGGTTCAAACAGCTTTGGTGCCTATGGGGCCTTGAGCAAATTACTTAATCAGATCCTTAGTTTCCTCATCTATAAATCAGAGAGAATACCTACCACCTACAGGCTACAGGAGATACTGCATTTTAAAGCCCTGGCACATGGGAGGTACACAATAAATAGAAGTAATTATTATTATTTCCATGATGCAGTTAACTCATACCAGAGGTAAAAAGGATGTTGTCCCCTGTAATATGTGATATTCATTTGTTTAAAATAAATATGCATTCAAGATATGAGAAGCTCCAAACAGACATCTATATAGATTAACAGGATTTTAGGATTCCAGGAGTCTAAACTGGGTCACCTAGTTCAGCTTTTTGACAAATCCAATAGAATAGGTCACAATTAATATTTAAAAATCATGAAAATAGATTAGAATAGAAAATATCAGAGGGCATTCACATGTAATAAGGATGGATATTTTGGTATTAAACACTTGTTTTGGTTATGAAGTGTGTGTGTGTGTGTTTGTGTGTGTACTGGGTTGCCAAATAAAATGTATTTCTTTTTATGGATCTAGCCTAAAAGTTTGAGAAACATGGCCGTAATCCAATTCTCCTATTTTACATATGGAATACGAGCTCAGAGAGGTTAATTGACTATGTCAAGACCAGCTAGCAATGATTAGTGGAGCTGGAACTGGAAGCTAGGTCTTCGGGGAGGCCCTGAGACAATTCTCGATACTGGGTGCTGAGAAAAATATGGTTAGTTCTCTACATACAGGTTTCTTCTCTACCAATAAGACTAGGGAAAGGTGTTAGAAGAGATTAAGAGCAAAGGTTCTAGAATGAGACTTCTTGGGTTCAAATCCTTGCTCCACAGTGTACTCAGCTCTGGGACTTTACACCAATTACCACACTTGTCCAAGATTCCCTTGTCCCATCTGCAAGCTAGGGTTGACAACAGTACCTGCTTCACAGGTATGTTAGGAGGAGTAAATGAGAGAACATGTCATGCTTGGTAAAGGGTCAGGTATACTGTGGGTGCACAACAGGTGGCTGGTTTTCTCCAAGGTATCTGCCAGTTACAAAGCCTCTGATTGGCCGAGTTCACTGACTAGCTCTTTCCCATCCCTTATATGCAAACACAAGGAGAGTGGTTTCCTAACTGACATATGCTGAGGGACAGAGGCACACTTCTGTTTGGGGGAAACAAAGAAATACAGGGAAAGAAAGCAAAGTGCTCTCAAGGTTCCCAGTGGACTTTTTAGCTATCCATTACTGAAGGAGGGGAAAAACAAAAACATTTGCTGCAGAAGCTAGTCAGCTCTTGTGGAAAAGCCATGAATATCTTCCTGTCTCCTCTCTTTCCCTTCTGACAACTACAAAGCAAAGGGCTTATGGATTTGGTGAAAAGACCTTGAATCAGAGTTGTTAGGGACTGCACTCTGTGCACCTGCCCCCCAACCAAATTCATATGCTAAAGCCTTAACCCCCAGTACCATATTTGGAGAAAGGATCTTAAATATGGTGGGAATGCAACCATATTTGAAGATAGGGTCTTTAAAGAAATGATTAAATTAAAATGAGGTCATTAGGGTGGGCTTCAATCCAATATGACTGGTGTCTTTTTTTTTTTTTTTTTTTTTGAGATAGAGTTTTGCTCTTGTCGCCTAGGCTGGAGTGCACCGGCACGATCTTGGCTCACTGCAACCTCCACCTTCCAGGTTCAAGCAATTCTCCTGCCTCAGCCTCCCAAGTAGCTGGGATTACAGACACACGCCACCACACCCAGCTAATTTTTGTATTGTTAGAAGAGACGGGGTTTTGGTTTCGCCATGTTGGCCAGGCTGGTCTCAACCTGTGATCTGCCCGCCTCGGCCTCCCAAAGTATTGGTATTACAGGTGTGAGCTATGGCACCCGGCCTGACTGGTGTCTTTATAAGAAGAGGAGATGAAGACAGAGACACACACAGAGGAGGCGTGGGGAGAGACCAACCCTGCCGTCACCTTGATCCTGGACTTCCAGCCTCCAGAACTGTGAGGAATTTCTGTTGTTTCTAATCTACCTGTCTGTGGTACTTTGTTAGGGCAGCCCTAGCAAACCAATGCAGGGGTAATGGCAGTTCAGGGACTCCTTACCTCCAAATTCTCAACAATAGAACAAACAAAAACCCCTCTAAACACTCCTGGCCCCAAATACAATTATGTCATGCTTGTTTGTTAATGGCTGCCAAAAATCAGTTTTAAATACCCTCCCTGGAGCTTCATTCTTTAGAAAGCAAACATCTCCTTCTTTGGGGGATTGTTTTCAGTCCAAATACAACACCTGATCAAAGGTGTGGCATCAGTTTCCCCAGAAGGCAGCTGATTTTTAATGATGGCAGAACTACTAAAAAAAGCTTCCTAATTTTCTCCAACAATTTGCTAAGTCATAATGTTCTTAATGTAATGACATTTTTGAGAAAGGCCAGAATATCTGTATTGTTGATGATACCTGGCCCACTGCCCCAAGGGGAAAAAGAACCAGAAACTGTATATTTATAACATTAGAGAGATTTATTAAGGCCATCTTTGTTTATCTCTAACTTCCCTAGAACAAACTCTAAAGTCTGAGGAGACAGAGTCTTCTGGAAGATACTTTATATTGGTTATCTGATGAAAGCATCATAAAGATTGAGAAAGTTTTCTTTTGCTTTAGCTTGGCAATTATGTGAAGAATTGTCATCATTAAAAAAAAAAGCAATGTTGACAGAACTAAGTACAACAGCTATTTGCACAACTCTAATAAACATTAGTGCTTTTATTCTGTGCCAATAGATTTCTCCTGTACTTTAAAGAAGTCTTATCTTCACCAGTTCATCCTGACTTTCAAGGCAGGAATCAAAAATAGAAGAGAACATTAGAGTGATGGTGTGACTTCCATCAAAGCTGGAGCTGGTTGTGTGGGATGTCAGACGAAAAGTCAATGGGGGGTCTATGAGAGGTACTTCAACTTGTTTCAGTATTAAGCGTATATTAGGCACACTCAATCAATACAGGCTGATTTGCATTGATGTCAATTAAAATTACATAAGGGTTTTCCACTAAAGAAGGAGCTCATCTAAGAGGTGTCCTGGTTTTCTGTCAAGGGAGTGCATTGGTGGTAGCTCCCCAGATATGTCTAGCAGCTAGTGTGCTTTGCAATGACTTTTACATAGATGTCACTCAGATTACTTTTTGTTAACGTCTCACTGAGGTTTCTTTGATTCTCAATAATTTCTCAGAATTCAGGTGAAGATGAGCTGAACCTGCTCCCTGGCCTTCCCCTAGTTTCTGTGGCTTGTGACAGAAGGTGGAAAGGACCAACATGGAAGAGATGCATGAACAAACTGCATGTTTTCAGCAAACGTTTCCAAGGGTTATCTTAGCTGGATGCGACTGTACTTTGGAAGAGTATTTTAGGACTCCATGTCTTTATGACCCTAGCTTCTGCTTTAAAGTTGAAGAACTGAGTCCTGTTATCAGCTTCATCTCTGTTTGGCTCCCAAAGTAAGGGAATTGTTTTGCAAAAGTAAGATGAGTTTTATCAGCAAGCTTTGTAGAAACTTTACCCAAAAAGGAAAACCAGATTCCCACTCAGGCTGTTTTGTAAGAGACGGCACAAACTCTGGGAGTTTGACCTCAAAGATGTATCACTGAGCAAAACAAAATAGGCCTGTTATTTCTGGAACCCATGGTTCTCATGTAGTTCTGTATCAGGTGGAAAATGGTTCAGTCATTGTTACTTCTTTTTAACGAATTTCTTTTTCTGATTATAAAAATCAATATATGCTCTTCGTGAAACACTGAAAAATACAGACGTAAAACATAAGTAAACAATAAACATTCTGCATTCCACCACATGGAAAAAAAGTAGTGCTAAAAGTTGGTGTTCATTTTTTTTCCCGTAGATGTAATTATTCATTGCTTCTCGGCCTTTTGGCTAAGATCAAGTGTAGATGTAATTACTGGAGATATTTTCAGAAATAATAATAATTACTTTTTAAGTAATGGCGATTCAAACCATAAGAATGATTCTAAGAGTTTAATTCAAACAGTTCAATGAAAACAAACAAGCACACAAATAAAATCCCATCAGTACGTTCCTGGCGTGTATTGTGAGAACTCTATCATTTGAGAAAGAATGATTTCAAGGTAATGACATTTGCATTACCACTACAACTCAAACTTAAAAGCATTAAAGTAAAATTTTGAAAAAGGTTTGGGTTCCACCTACATTTAAAATTCCAAGAAAGCTCATATCAAGCAGTATGTATTAGTAAACCACACTACCAAATATTAATCATTATTACTTTGGCTTATGTGTTTTTGTGTAAAGTTTCACTAGTTTATTCCATTTGGATGCATGTGTGTATGTGTGTGAGTGCACAGCACAGAAAATGTATGGAAAGATATACATCAAAAAGTGTCAACATAGAACTGTTATTTAATTTTATTGGCTTATCTATATATTCTAAATCTTCTAACATGTACATACATTTCCTTTGCAATTAAGGGAAAAGTTTTAAAACATTTTAACCAGTTTCACACCTTCAAAAGTAGAAAATATTTCACATAGGGGCTGTTAAGTTTGCATGTGTCACAAAATATTAAACCTCCTTCCAATCAGGGAAGAAGCTTTAGGAAAACACATTCGGAAGTTGCCAGAATAAATTATACAGGTGAAGAAGAATAAAGTTTTCTCAAGCAAAGGTTATCCAAATCAGGAACAGTATTTCGGGAGGCTGAGGCAGGAGAATCGCTTGAACCCGGGAGGCGGAGCTTGCAGTAAGCCGAGATCGTGCCACTGCACTCCAGCCTGGCAACACAGCAAGACTCCGTCTCCAAATATATATATATATATATATATATATATATATATATATATATATTTGGACACACACATATATATTTGGACACATTCTAATAATTGAAGCAATTATTTTCACCATTTAAAGTCAGCAGCAATTTTTTACAAATCAGAAATGTTCAACTGAGTTAACTTTTGCTTTGGTGCAATTGTAGGTATTTCCCTAGGCTAGCTCCCTTCTTGTTGAGTCCCATTAAATAAAAATTTTTTACTGTCCAGGAACATTTTGGAGATTTCAGAATACGTCCATGGAGATATTTTCAAAAACACTTGTACAATTTAAACAATTTAAAATGTTTGCAAAACCTAGTGAGCACCACTCATGTACATGATTTTACAACAGTTGCCATTATATTGAATAATAACAGATTCCTTGGGAAATATTTTTACATCTTTATAAGACTTGATGGTTCATATATATTCCTTATTTTAGGGTTGCTAAACTTTATGTTCCTTATATTCCTTATATACTATATTTGCTTTTATTTATTTATTTATTTATTTATTTATTTATGACAGGGTCTCACTCTGTCACCCAGGCTGGAGTGCAGTGGTGCAATCTTGGCTCACTGCAACCTCAATCTCCCAGGCTCAAGAGATCCTCCAGCCTCACCCTCCCAGGTGGCTGGAACCACAGGCATGTGCCACCAGCCCTGGCTAAGTTTTTGATTTTTTGAGGAGACTGGGTCTCCGTATGTTGTGCCCAGGCTGGTCTTGAACTCCTGGGCTCAAGCAATCCTCCCACCCCAGCCTCTCAAAGTCTGGGATTACAGGCGTGAGCCACCGTGCCGGAGCTATATTTGCTTATATTATCTAAAAATCATTCTTCAAGAATATAAAACCTGGTGACTTGGTCTTTCAGAGGATGCATTGCTTTGGATAGTTACGTTGTCGTGGTATCTCAGGGAGAAGCTTTTTAACATGCATAAACTCCTACTTTAATTTTTTTTTTTTTTTTTTTTTTGAGATGGAGTCTTGCTCTGTCACCCAGGCTGGAGTGCAATGGCATGATCTCAGCTCACTGCAACGTCCACCTTCTGGGTTCAAGCGATTCTCCTGCCTCAGCCTCCTGAGTTGCTGGGATTACAGGCGTGTGCCACCACGCCTGGCTAATTTTTGTATTTTTAGTAGAGACGGGGTTTCACCATGTTGGCCAGGCTGGTTTCAAACTCCTGACCTCAAATGATCTGCCCGGTTCAGCCTCTAAAATTGCTGGGATTACAGGCGTGAGCCACCACTTTAAAGCCCTTATTTTAATTTTTAATGCTAATCTTTCAACAATCTCATTGGCACATTTTTTTTTTCAGTAATAGTTTTTGTTTTTAAAGCAAGCTGGCCGGGCGTGGTGGCTCACGCCTGTAATCACAGCACTTTGGGAGGCCGAGGAGGGCGGATCACGAGGTCAGGAGATTGAGACCATCCTGGCTAACACAGTGAAACCCCACCTCTACTAAAGATACAAAAAAATTATCTGGGCGTGGTGGCGGGCGCCTGTAATCCCAGCTAATCAGGAGGCTGAGGCAGGAGAATGGCGTGAACCCAGGAGGCGGAGCTTGCGGTGAGCAGAGATCGTGCCACTGCACTCCAGCCTGGGCGACAGAGCAAGACTCCATCTCAAAAAAATATAAATAAATAAAATAAATAAAATAAAATAAAACAAGCTATTTTAGACATACAGAAAAACATAATAATGATGACAGGCTCCCATTTATAATTTAATTTAATGTTTAATGGGGGCCCAGGATCATCATTACGATGCCCCTTTACTGACATCTTCAGGAGAAAGGAAGAGATCTGGAGCCTGGGACATAGAACTATTTAAATAAGACCTCCGGGGCAGCCCTGAAGTTTGACATGAGATTGTTCTACTGCTCTATAAAGGTAGAACAATACACTTGCAGTTGCAAATTGGGCATTTTTAATACAATGTCTTTTCTGCAAAAGTGTTCAGCAAATCATAGGGTAAAATGCCTTCTCTGAAGTCATTTTTGTATCCTTCAGATAGATAATAATCTACGTTGTCATTACCAACATATTTTAACTTGTCAGAATCATTCAAAGTCTTCTCTAGGATTTTGGGGCCACTGACACAATGAACAGTAGACACGTTTTTTTGTCACTTCCCACTTACTATTCTTTGTCTTTGCCATTGTTCACAGATGTGATTCCCATCTCATCATTTCTAGATTTTGTGCTGCAGAATTTGAGAGAGTGCTCACTCTAAAACCTACAAGTTATACATCAGAACAAGAACACAGTTCTGTTGACATGATGTGTGGGCCACAATTTTCTCTATGCTGTCAATGTCTGACACTTTTCCGAAGGATAGGTTATGTGAGAGGAAAAGTCAAGTTGAATGGAAATGTAAACGTTTAACACAATGACCCACGATGTTACAATAGCCTCACAATAGCTCATATCCTGAATCTTAATGCCACACCAGGGCTTGGGAGACCATAAAAACAGAACAAAATAAACAAACAAGAAAACCCTTCACATTAACTGTTCCCTCAGGTTGAGATTTATAGTTTTCATTACAGTTGTTCTGATAGATACTTGACTGGTAGTGCAAAAAGCTAACAGTCCAGTCAGAGAAAACATATCTTTTCCATTCATGCATCAGTGTGCAGCCAACTAATGAATATGGGAGACAGAGGAAGCTCTAGTGTATTTCCCTTGTATAAGGGAACTTGACAACATGAGTTCCAGAAAATGCTGGATTCATGGCAGGGGCATGGGATTAGCTGAATTATTTGAGATCCAGGAAGGAAGTAGTGGATCAATACTAGGCAATGACAAATAACGACATACAAAATTGCTGCAGAGAGAAACCAGACGTTTTGGAGAGAAAATTAAGTTGAAAACCAAAGCTTAACCTAGTTGTCTACAGTAAGTATAACAGAACAGATCAGGTGGCTAAGAAGAATCTCATTTTGTATTTTGTTCTTATTTCAGCTTACTGGTTCAGCTGAGAAGATACCAACTCTTACCCTATCAGGGAGGTATCATCTGGCTTCTGACAGCGATGAATTTTATAATCACCTATAATTTCACTTTGTGAGATTCTGCACATAAAAGCTGAGGAGCAGAGGGTCTCACTTGAGCTTTACTTAAACCCAGAGGGACTTCACTAGTAATCCCTAGGGACAAAAATTGGAGAAAACTGCTGAAACCAATCGAATTCATCAGCTTTATAAAATCTATGACAATGTATAGTGATCAGAAATTAGTTCTTTGAAATAGCAAGAAAAAAATTCTTCTGAACTGCAATTCATTTTTCATTCTGTCAACATTTGATGTGCATTGACTATATGCCAAATACCACGCTGATAGGTTTTCATCTGTTGTCTCTACTTTCAAATGATAAATCTCAGTTTAAACTACCAAATCCACCATTTGAAGTTCCCAGCCCAGTCAACTGAATTTGCTGGGTCACTGTCTCTCTCCTCTTAAGTGGCCCATGGTAGAGGGATGGCCAGATCTTTTCTCTGAGATTCATTTATGTAGAACGTGGCTGAAATGATGTAAATCTACAGTTTCCACCTCAAACTCAGCAGATGCAAAGAATTTCAACAACTCCCCTGTGAGTGTTAAGATATCCCACAGGGTAGATGAGCCATTATTGTACCGAGCCACTGATACTTAGCTCCAGTGATCCTTAATCGGAAACTGCTTTCTCTTTTAAGGGTAACATCATCTTCCTAAGATTCCATTGTTTGTTATTCTCAGGAGCAAACAGCTGGGAGTGGCGGCTCACACCTGTATTCTCAGCACTTTGGGAGGCTGAGGTGGGCAGATGGCTTGAACCCAGGAGTTTGAGACCAGCCTGGGCAATAGAGTGAGACTGCATCTTTACAAAAAAAGAAAGAAAGAAAAAAAAACAAAACAGAGCAATGCATCCCATAGAGCACTAGCTCATTTGGTGAGTAGCTCAACATGAGCCGTGCTTCCTGGTCAACAGGGTTGGGAGGCTTCTGCATATGGCGCCCCCTCTTTTGGTGGCCCACAATTCACTTCAGAATACTGAACAAGATACTAAAGAAACCTGTTTAACTTTGCGTAACCTGATGTTTTTCAAGCTTTTTGATCCACGGAGCTTTTAATTTCACCCACAGTTTTCTAAGGAACTGGTATTCTGTGAATAGACCCAGGGAGATGCTGCTATAAGAGGCCTGTGGGGTAGCTTCAGGGTTTCATGGAGGCCTGCTGGGCTGCTCACTGTGTATTCATTTGCCCCTTCCTCTCTGGTTGTCTCACTTATAACCATGGAGATGCTTTCAAGGGCATTTAACAGAGGTAAAGCAGCCTGTTTTCCCTGACTTACCCCCCCCCCCCACCCACACACGCATGCACAGCAGTTGCTTTCAGGAGCTATAAACATCTCTGGATGGGCTGCTGGCATAGCTATCCCCCCACTGCACTGGGATTCTGTCCTCTGTTGCTGTCTTTTCTGCAGGTCATTTGTTGGCCAGCCCTGTCCCCACTTCTAACAACTCCCACCATTGACAGTTACAGTCTCTTTCCTGTCTCTTTCTCTGTATTTTCTTGCTTTCTCTTTCACACACCTAAACTTGTGTGAAAAAGCAGGCTTTTTAAGGAAAAAAGCCACTAAATTGCAGTCTTTTTCTTTTGCAGCACACACTCACGGCCAATGAACTTTCATCTTCGAGTCTTGAGCTGAGATGCTTCTTTGTCGTCCAAGGGGGATTTTTGGTCACTTCCAAGTCCAGAGGAGTCCCATAGCTCCATATGCCATAAATCCCATGGACTCCAAGCCTTATCAGTGCTTGTAGACTGCTGAGCCTGGATTTTGACATTGACCCCAAAGGGAAAGTGTGGCTAACGGTGTGTATAAATCCAGCATGAAACGTGATGTACAACCAGAACTACTTTCTATGAGGCATGTGCTGGAAGGACCATTCTTTGATTTTTGACTCAGTTCTTAGATGTAAAGCTTATAAATCATGACTGTGTAATAAAATGAGATAATTGTGCTCACTATTATCGGTAAAGAGAGTTATTTTGTTACCTGCTGGTTCATTTGTTTCTTCATTTATTCAATAAATATATACTGGTGACTTTTATGTGCCAGAGCTGGTCCAGGTGCTGGGGTACAGCAGTAAACAATACAGACAGCACTCTGATGTCCCTGCCCTCTTTTGTTTAAGTGGCAAGGGGCATGTATTAGTCAGGGTTCTCCAGGGAAACACAATGAATAGGATATGTTTATTTATTTATTTATGACAAGGATCTGGCCCATGTGATTATGGAGGCTGACAAGTCCCAAGATCTGCAGTCAGCTGGCTGGAGACCCAGGAGAGCCAATGGTGTAAGTTCCAGTCCAAGTCTGAAGGCTGGCAGGCTGGAGATCCAGGAAGAGCCAACGATCTTTCAATTCGAGTCCAAAGGCAGGGGACAAAACAAAACAAAAAACCCAATTTCCCAGCTCAAAGGCTGTCGGTAAGAATTCTCTCTTACTTAAGGGAGGGTCAGACTTTTGTTCTATTCAGGCCTTCAACTGATTGGATGAGGCACTCCAACTGATTTGGAAGCGCAATCTACTTTACTCAGTCTACCAATTTAAATGTTAATCTCATCCAAAAACACCCAGAATAATACTCCACCAAATATCTGGACACCCCAGGGCCCAGCCAAGTCGACACATAAAATTAACCATCACAGGGGGAGAGAGACGCAGATAAATAATTATATAAATAACTAAATTATATAGCATGTTAACTGTTAAAAACCATAGAGGGAAAAAGGTAGAACCTAGTGAGGAGGATCAGAAATATATATGGGGGGTGGGTTCCCACTTAAAATAGGATGGCCAGCACAGGTCTCATTGAGAAGGTGACATTTGAATAAATATCTGGAAGTGGCATTAGCCATGTAGACATCTGGAGGAAGGGCTCCCCAGAGAGAGGAAACGGCCACTACAAAGATCATGAGGTAGGAATGTGCCTCCAGTGTTTAAGGAGCAAGCAGAACCATGTAGCTGGAATGGAGCGACTGAGGGAGAAAGGGCCAGGGTTTGAAGTCAGACAGAAAATGACAGGGTGTTGGGGCACCAATCATGGGAGCTGCTGAAAGGATTTTGGCTTTTATCCTGAATAAAGCGGAGATCACCATGGAGTTTTGAGCAGAGGAATAACATGATGTGGTTTTCTTTTCTAAGGATCGCTCTGGCTGCTGTATTGAGAATAGATTATTGGAGGGTAAACGCAGAACTAGGGACATCGTATTCGAGACTACTGCAATAATTCCGACAAGAGATGAAGGCAGCTCAGGCCAGAGTGAATGTAGTGGAGATTGTGAAAAGTAGATTTTAGACCGGATGTGGGGTATCAAAGCAAATGAGGAGTCAGGAATGACTCCTTGGTCTCTGACCTGAACAACTAGAAGGATGGAGTCGCCATCAACTGAGATGGGGGAAATGGCAGAAGGAGCAGGCTTTAGCGCAAAGACCAGGAATTCCGATTTAGACGTACTGTTTCGGCTGCCCTCAACCAGGTGTTCCCAGGGGCCACAACTGATGAGTAATATCTGCAGTGCAGCTGCAATGGGCTTGCTTTTTTTTTTTTTTTGCCCCCTCCTCAGCTCAGTTCCTTTCTGGTCTCCACTCCTCAGTGTGTCTTTGCTTGGGAGCATCTTCTCACATTTTCAATCCAGTACACATGATTCATAAATGTGCTATATGTTCCTGTATTCAGTACAATTCAGTTCCAATTCAGAACAACACAGTGTATACATGCTCTGTTCCTCACCTACAAGAATGGCGCTTCTGGCCCTCAATCAGCCAGGGGTGAGCTCTGTATTGTTTCTCTCCTGGGGTTGACTTGTGCTGAGTCATTCACTCTGGCCAGCAGCAAAAGTCTGTGAGACAGCCAGCCTCCATTATGGGTACAGTCTGTGGTTGGCGGTGAAATTATTTTTGTTTAATTTCCCAGGTCAATTACTCATTATATCCTAAAACTTGTTGGCCTGTAGAGAGAAACAACCTTTAGCCTTGGTTTCATCTCTATCATATCTTAACAAATTGAGGTGAGAGAGAGGTGCACTATTTAAGTGGCTTATTTGGGTTATATGAGTGGATGCTGGTGGTCTAGCTTGCATTTTTATACTAAACATAGTGTCATGTAACAGGCATGAATGAACAAGTGAATGAATACACAAACTAACACTGAAGTGACAAATAAAAATTAAGCTTCTGAAAAGTCCAATGTGATCTGGGTAAATCGGAAATAAAATGTACCTCTCTAAAGAAGGTAATAGTTTATCTTGTTTTGATACAGATTTTTTATTCACACGTGAAGAAAATGATCAGATATTGTCTTTTATGTCCTCCTCTGTTTTCCTTCATAAACATTTTTTTCTGCCTGATATCCACTAACTCTGACCTCATGTTTTCTTGTTCTTTTTATCTGTTACAATATTTATTGAGCACCTACTAGGTGCCAGGCATAGTCCTAGGGACTTGCGATACATAAGTGGGGAAAATGGGTCTTTCCTTTGGGGTTTACAAGCAGTAAACAGACAGTAAACAACAGACATATTAGGGATATCGTACTATGAAAAAAAGGAGTGAAGCAGTACAAAGGGGTCAGAGGAGGAGGGGAGATTTTATTAATGTAAAAAAGGCTTATGTGAAAATATTTAGCTGACTACAACGTTTGACTGAACATTTGGTTGATGCTGTTTGATCCAGCCAGCCTGTCACATGCTAGCAGCTGATCAGAACGGAGTATGGAACATCAATGAGGAGAAATCAGGAAGTGGACAGGGATAAAAGCTGCTTTTCCCCCCAACTGGCTGACCTGAATTCAGCCACGCATAGGCTAAAGTTCACTTTCAATTCCAGCCACTTTGGACGCCGGCACATAGTCCAGGATATAATATGCCTGCTGCTGATCGGCAGCACAGAATAAAGCCTGCCAGCTGCAGTTCCATGTTCCTGCTAGACCCTCTGGTGCCTCACCAATCTTGTTTTTCTCTTTCAGTTACCTTCCCTCAGTTCTGCTCCTTCTGACTTCCAGCCCATAGACTTATTTGTGTTTTGATTTTTTTTGGTGACCCCAAAATACAAAGTTAAAATCAAAATACATGCACCCCACCACTGGCAAACATCACAAGAAGTTGGGAAATTTATAGAGAGAAAAAATAGACAACCATTTCCCATGGTTGATTATAGAAGATTTCTCTGCGTTTCTAAGATGTACCTTTCCAGCATCGCACATGGGTACTGCAAAGTACAGAACACAGTTCCTGCAAAGACCAGTAAGGTCAAACCCTTTCCTTCCTCCTGGCACATTAAGTACTCCTTCCAGAATAAACACAGGGACAAGGCTGGGGCCAAGAGCAGCTGAACTGGATAGACAATGGGATTTATTTGGTCCTCATCAGCAGGTCATGCGAGGAAGCCCGCAGAAATCTGAGAGTCCTGTGGGATGACTATCATCTTAAGATCAGTTTGCGGGGAGGGAAGAAATGAAAATTTACTGATTGCTTACTATAAATCACGCACTGTACTTTGTATTCTATATATTATGTAAACATCATAAAACTTTGGTGGAAACATTAGCATTATTATCCCTGTTTTATGAGTGAGGGAACAAGATCAAGAAATACTTAGTAACTTGCCCAAGATCATCTGGCTAGAACTGAGATTTGGACCCAGATATGTCTCGCTCCCACAGCTAATACTCTTAGGCAAAACAAAAAAAGCATTGGCTTCGGAACAGGAAACATCTGGGTTTAAACCGTATCGTTCACACTAGTCTGAGCCCCAGTATTCTTCCTATGTCATCTGTAAGGTTCTGATGACGATTACATAAGACAATATGTGCATCATGTCTGACACACAATAGAGGACTAAAAATGACAGCTGCTATTATTGTAATTATTCAAGCAATTTTACTGACCTCAAATACTGAAGAAAAAGCATATCATGGATAGCTGGACGAAATGGAATAATTATTGCTGAGTTAAACACTGTAGCTGATGAAAGAACTGAGAACATGGTGCCCACGATATGCGGTAAGAAGGACATGCTTACAATGCAGGCCCTTTAGAATGGGGTGGAAACTTAGGTCATCTCTTTTTGAGAATCTCAGGCAATTTACTTACATGACTCTGGGACATACTGGAAAAGGTGGAGAACAGATGGGGCACCCTGACAATCTCGGGGGCGTTGGGGGACAGTCCTTGGGAAAAGCTGTTCAAGTTCAATGCAAGGGTGCTAGAAGAACCCCAGGATCAGAAACTCACATTTCTGGGACATGATGTTAATGACACTGAGTTTCTACCGGCTCAAGGCAGAAGAAGAATGAAAGAGAAACAGATTTCTTTTAGTAGCACACGTCCTGTGGTTTACCCAGTGGAGCTATGGGCACAGCCTGAAGAGTTTACTTGCACGGGAAACAGACATGTCAGCAGGAGGGCTGAGCTTATAGCTGACATTCAGCCAAAGGGCACAAGGGCAGCTTCACCAGCTGTTAAGGCGCCATGATCCTTTATAGTGGTTGGCAAACAGCCACTTTCCAAGCCCTTTGGGTACCCCCTGCTGCCCTGGCTGCCCCAGTCTCTCTTCCAGGACTTCTCAAAGTCCCCAAACTCCAGCAATCCTGGCCTAATAGGAGGCCTCCAGGATCCTTCTCCAAGGCTCTCATTCTGTTTGTTCTGATTGGACCCATGCAGAATCTTAGGACTACAACCGAAAACTCATGGGCAGGACCTCTGCCCGCAAAGGCGTGCTGTTGCCATGGCAGGAACATCTAGCTTTGTGACTTACACCCCACCCAACCCAATACTCCATTTTAAAATTGCAAGTGTTTTATAATCCTCTTTTCTAGCCTGAAAGAAATTCACAGATAATATAAACTACATGTACACATCACTTTAAGAAATCCATATGGTGTCTAATTGTAAAATAAAGGGGAAATAAAAGGAAAGTAATTTCAAGACATAAATGCTTGGCCACAACAACACCAGGAAGATATGATGTAGTCTCAAAGTTGCAACTGCACATAGAATCCTGCAGAAAGAGATAGCCACAGATGTGGACTCATACAGATGAGTGTTTTAGCAAATCAAATACAAGAAGTCTTTTGGAGATATCTGGAGATGCCATTTTCTGACATGGAAAATAACATATGGTAAAAGTTCAGAACAAAATAAAGTGTCATCTTCCCTCAATTTGCACTGCAGCTGCATTCCAGGGTAATTTAGGATATATATTAAAATTACTATGCATATTAATATAGACTATGGAATGAAATTAGGTTCTAAGCTCAGATGATTAAAAATGTTTTTCACTTACATGCATACACAGTGGGTGACAGTCAAGTAAGAGGAGGGATAATGCATTGTGTTGTGTGTTGCTGAGCTTGTGGCATCTGCCCACCAAATGCCAAAAGAAACCTCCTGTATTTGACAACCTCAAGCATTTCCAAAATGCCCTTTTGGAGGACGTTAGCACCCCAGTGGAGAACTCAAGATCTGGCTAAATGGCACAACTATCATGATGGACCTACTAGATTACAAACTCCAGGAGGGCAGATCTGTTTTGCTCACTACAGTTTTCCCAGCTCCAGACTGGGATCTGGCAAATAGAATCTCAGCTAGTGTTTGTTAAATGAGAGAATGGATGCAAAACCCTAGGTAGTAAGGGGCAAGGCAACACATTTCAAGAAGCTAATCCAAACAGGCAAGCAGAGAGGTGCATGGAAGAGTGTAGTAGCAACTTAACTCTCCCTGTGATGGTAGCTGACACTGGGTAATGCCAACTGTGGGACATTTGGTCATTCAACACCCTTTGGGGCACCATGTGGGACTCTGAGGACTTAACACTGTTGCTTGTTGGAAACTGTACTGAATGGTAGTTACTGTATTCTGATTTTCTTTTGTTTTTTCTTTTGTTTTGTTTGTTTTCTGAGACAGAGTCTTGCTCTGTTGCCCAGGCTGGAGTGCAGTAGCATGATCTCGGCTCACTGCAGCCTCCGCCTACCAGGCTCAAGCAATTCTCCTGCCTCAGCCTCCTGAGTAGCTGGGCTTATAGGCGCGTGCCACCACACCCGGCTTATTTTTGTATTTTTAGTAGAGATGGGGTTTCACCATGTTGACCAGGCTGGTCTTGAACTCCTGACCTCGTGATGTGCCCGCCTTAGCCTCCCAAAGTGTTGGAATTACAGGCGTGAGCCACTGCACGCAGCCTGATTTTCTTTAAAGGTAGTTTCTCTGTGGCTCATGGTGGCCATCAATTTTATTAATTTTGGAAGGAAAGTTAGTTTGTAGACTTTCTGGTGGAGGTATTTTCCTGTGTTTGCCGGAGTGGGCCAAAGGCAAAACGGGTAATGGTAGGACGTCCTGCCAGCACAGACCCCTCAGCACAGTGGAGTTTCCACACAGCATGGGCATCAGAGTCAGTCTTGGATTTTAGTCTTGACTCTGCCCCTTATTAACTGAGAGAATATCCACCTCGTGGAACAGATATGAAGCAGCAGGTGCACCATGTTCATGTTCATGAATCCCTTAGATGTCCAGAGGGTATAATTCAAGACCAAGTGTGCTAACTTCGCGTGCAAACTTTGATGACAACAGAACTAACACAAACTGCAGCTCTATAAGGAGATGCTCTGATGTGATTGAAACTATGGCTTCCACAAAGATAGATGCTAATTCTCTTAGTGACTTTGTAATTCAGTATTATTATCCTCATTTTTCAGCAGAGGAAACTGAGGTTGAGGCCGATTTAACATTTGTCTCTGAGCTGAATGTGGGCTTGTGATATGAGTGTGTTTTTTTTTAAAACCAAGATGTGAAATTCACTGAAGAATTACAATAAATGACTAATTTATCACAATTACCATTTTCCTGGCCCTGAGCTATTCAAAGATGAATGAGATGGTCACAGGAACAAATGGTTACAGTGGGGCTGTGGGACCAAGCCATCGAGGGCTTGTGAGGCTGCTGGTCTGACTGTGGGTTGCACCAGGTAGGACAATCCAGAAGGGAGGTGTTTGCTTATTACTTATGGATGAGAAGAAATCTGAAGGGGAAGGCTGAGAGAACAGCAGAAAAAGATACCAAAAAGAGCACAAAGCCAAGCTATGCTCAGGAAACAACAAATTTTCCTGAATGGCATGGAGTAAGAATCAGGTTGGATGTGGTGGCTCATGCCTGTAATCTCAGCTCTTTGGAAGGCCGAGGTGGGAGGATCACTTGAGTCCAGGAGTTCAGGACCAGCCAGGACAGTATAGTGAGACTTCATCTCTACAAAAATTAAAATAAAACTAAGTGGGTGTCCCTGCTACTTGAGAGGCTGAGGCGGGAGGATCACTTGAGCCCAGGAGTTAGAGATCAGCCTGGGCAACAAAGCAAGACTCTGTCTCTACAAAACAAACAAACAAACAAACAAAACTAGCTAGGCATAGTGGCACACACCTGTAGTCCCAGCTACTAGGCAGGCTGAGGTGGGAGGATCACTTGAGCCCAGGAGTTTGAGGCTGCAGTGAGCCATGATGGCACCACTGCACTCCGGCCTAGGTAACAGTGTAAGACCCTGTCTCAAAACAAAACAAAACAAAAAAAACTGGGCCAGGTGCGGTGGCTCATGTCTGAAATCCCAGCACTTTGGGAGGCCAAGGTGGGTGGATCACCTGAGGCCAGAAGTTCGAGACCAGCCTGGCCAACATGGTGAAACCCCCGTCTCTACTGAAAATACAAAAATTAGCCGGGCGTGGTGGCGGGTGCCTGTAATCCCAGCTACTCAGGAAGCTGAGGCAGGAGAATCGCTTGAACCCGGGAGGCGGAGGTTGCAGTGAGCCAAGATGGTGCCTCTGCACTCCAGCTTGGGCGACAAGAGCAAAACTCCATCTCAAAAACAAACAAACAAACAAACAAACAAACAAACCCACCTGGTGGCATTCTGGGTGATGAGGCTGCTGAGCCAGACAGGCATTTGCTCTTGGGGAGCTCTGAGAGGATTTAATGCAGAGCAGTGGCCTAGTTGGAAGTTTAGAATAACTGACCTGTCAGGGAGGAGAGAGTCAGAGGCAGGGAAAGGGGGACAGCACCAAGTCAGAGCAGATACCAATTGGGAGTGTTTCTCAGGGGCTTGATAAGCGACTGGGGACGTCCACAGCAAGGGGGATGGGAGAAGGAGATGGCTCCGAAAGGCAGGTAAGGGACAGGGCTTCCAGCAGGCACGAGGATGGCTTCTTTTCTTCAGTATCTTCAGCACCTGGCACATAGTACGTGCTCAGCAATTAAGTGCTGAGTTAATGAATGAGGTGAGCAAGAAAAGTGATGGCAGTGGGGGACACAGAGGATGATTCTGAGTTCCTTGCTTGGAGGTTGCTATTAAAACTGCAACTGCCTCCTGCCAATGCAATCAAGGAGAACTGCAGGGCTCCATGAGCAGAAAAGACACAGCTGAGTCCTCTGCAGTGGCTGGGCCTGGAAGCCGGGGGTGACCGTGACGGTGTGTTGTGTGAGCACTTCCAGATATCCTGGCATGTCCACAGGACACGGAATGAGGGTTCCAGCACATCTTACTGGATCCTAAGTGGAAGGGTGACTTCAGTTGGCCTTTGGATTACAGTAACAGTGGGTAAGAGAAAACATGTTTAGATCCCTAGGCTTTAAACATCTAATCAATGGTATTTTGAGGCTGATTTCTAAAGAATAATCTCGATTGTCTTATGATATCCTGGCCATGCTTCAACACTGTCAGTTATTTACTTATTTATTTATTTTTTGAGACAGGGTCTTGCTCAGTCACCCAGTCTGGAGTGCAGTGGTGTGATCTTGGCTTACTGCAGCCTGGACCTCCTGGGCTCCAGTGATCCTCCCACCTCAGCCTCCCGAGTAGCTGGGACTACAGGTGCACGCCACCATGCCGGGCTAATTTTTTTGTATTTTTAGTAGAGACAGGGTTTTGTCGTGTTGCCCAGGCTGGTCTTGAATTCCTGGGCTTAAACTACCCACCCGCCTTAGCCTCCCAGTGCTGGGATTACAGGCATGAGCCCCCACACCTGACCCACTGTCAATTATTTATCTAGGTTTTTCCCTTGAGAAAATTTGCTTGAGCTTAAATTATCAACTGTCACAACTTCCTTGAATTCTACTTCCCAAGATTTTGCAGAGTTTTTCTATCTCATTGGTTTGTTTAACGTATTTTTTTGAGAGATGGGGTCTTGCTATGTTGCCCAGTCTGGCCTCAAACTCCAAGACTCAAGGGGTCCTCCGACCTCAGCCTCCCAGATAGCTGGGACTACAGGTGCATGCCACCATGCCTGGCTTATTTTACTGGATTTTAGAACATGTTTGGCCACAAATATATTATAGGTGATTGTTGTGTATGAGGGACTTTAGGCTTTCAGAATTGGTACACCCAATGTTCACTGTTTCACCCTTTGAGAGTTATAGTGCTGTGGATTGTGGGAACACAAACAGGATGTCCTTCTTCCATTCCATCCTTCCCCTCCTCATCCTCAGAAGCCTCTGCGCTAAGTGGTGGCTTGGCAGAGCCTGCCATGGAGAGGTAGTTTGAGGGCTACTTCTGTAGAAGGTTCTTATGCATCTCTCGTTCCTAACAATGAAGGAAAAGAGTATTTGAAGCAGGACAGCAGGAAGCCAAGCCTGGGGAAGACCTGGCTGGCATTTAGATTTCCATTTGAAAATGCATATATTTTTTGGAAAAGTGTGACCTTGTCAATAATTACTAACCCCTGTAGTTATCAATTAATCCTTTTCTGGGGTCAGTGGAAATCAGCTCAGAGTAATAAACAGACTGACAAGAAAGGAAGATGAGTGGGTGGGAGGTGGGAGTTCACATGGCAGGAAAGGGTTGGGGTGAGTCCAAAGTCACCATTCCTGTCGTTTTCCAGCTAGCCCTAGACCTGATTCTCACTGGTTACCAAGCTGGGGAAAGCCGGGTGGCACCGGTAACCAGAGGCTGGTGCCCCAGGCTGGAAAAAGCCCAGTTGATCACTGCAGGTTCTTGGCAAGTTCTGTAACTGAACATCTGCAGGCTTTGATCTCTCCATCTGTACTTGGCATATAACATTACTATGCACGCACTCTAGCATGACATTGTGAAAATTAACTAACAGGTGATAAGAGAATTTTGAGATCCTTTAATTAAAAGGTCCCTCATAAATATTCACATAAAATGCCATCAGTACTGTTTATAACAGGACTGAGAAAAAAAAAACCCAGGACTGGGAATCTAGTTATTTCACTATTTCTATTTGCTATTCTACTTATCTCAAATTCTCTCCCTGATGAACGCCCCAACATCACAAAACAAATACTGTCCCTTCTACTCTCTTGTTGCAAGTAAAGAAATCGGACAATAGTGTTTGAGTTTGGCATTTTGGAATCATTTCAGAGAATCTTCATATTCTACCTATAAAGAATGATTTTCAAAGACAGTGAAATAAAATCATCTTTGGTAAAGAACAATTTGTGGCCAGAGAAGCAACAGGACGAGGATCCTGAGACAATGACACAATGCATCTTCATCTGTAAAAGAAATGGCTCCAGGTGTCCAAAGCAGCTGCCGAATGGTCTCAAAACCACTTTCTCTACTGGGTTTTCTTACTATAGGCAATTCTACATAAGACAAATCTGCCACTGTCACATTTCCTGGTCAGCCACCTCTGTATTGCTTGCACGGACCCGGCTCCATATAAACACTACCCTCAGACTTGACTGACATAGCATACATGCTCGGCCCCAAATGTATTCCATTTGATTTTTCAATTTGTAAACCACCCAGGAAACATGTCAGATAGAGATGAAAAGTGAGGTGTTTACAAACTGGCAATGAAATATGATATTTATCCTGTCAGCTGAAATGAGTCTGACAGATGTATTTTTTTGTTAAAATTAAAATTGTGAGCCATATCACATTACCCTCATGATGCCGCCAGATGCACAGCGTATGTCTGACAAAGAGGCACCCCTGTGGTCATTTGAGCCAGGCTGCAGGTTCCAACAATTCATGACACAGGAGCTTGTGACAAGGCCTTGCGTGAGAAGGGGGAGCCACCCAAGCACTGAATACACAGACGCAGACTCGTGCAACTGCTATGGAAATGATTCTTTTCTATCTTTC